>NC_000006.12:101888971-102040486 GCF_000001405.40 Homo sapiens
AAAATTAGCAACTTTGTGAAAATGGAAAAACTCATTTCCTAATGCGATTTAGGCAAGGCTGCAAGGATTTTCATTAAATAATATAAAACAAATTAGAGGGATAGAAACAAAATTCAGAGGTAGTAAACAGAATCACACTGAGAGATGTTTCAAACAATATTTTAACTATTTAAAGACTAAAATCTTTTAACTGTATTCTATATTTTAAAATCAGAAATGTCTGTTAATTCTCAGCTATATAATTTGATGTAGTTATTATTACTATTATAATTTGACCAATGTATTAAGAAAATAATTAATATTAAATAGATTTTTAAAGTTTAAAATAAAAGCAATTTTGAAAAGTCTAGTAGCATAATTCATGTACTGAGTGTACAATAGTTTCTTCAGTTTTTTAATTCTATGAAGTTTTTTTTTCTATATCTACTTCCAATAAATGCTGATTTGCTAATCTAGAAGAACATAGAAATGATTAGTGCAATAAATCAGATTCTTTACTTCAGAGTAAGGAATGCTTTAAATTTTAACATAATCGTTACTGAGGCAATTAAGTGTAAAGCCTTTGTTTTATTTAATTTGATTACTGATTTTTTCTTGTGACTGAAAATCAATTTTTTCTCTCTTTCTTTCTTTCTTTTTTTTTTTTTTTTGTTTGTTTCTGTCTACAGAAAGCTGACCTTGCAGTTGCTCCACTGGCTATTACCTATGTTCGAGAGAAGGTCATCGACTTTTCCAAGCCCTTTATGACACTTGGAATAAGTATTTTGTACCGCAAGCCCAATGGTACAAACCCAGGCGTCTTCTCCTTCCTGAATCCTCTCTCCCCTGATATCTGGATGTATATTCTGCTGGCTTACTTGGGTGTCAGTTGTGTGCTCTTTGTCATAGCCAGGTAACATGCTCACTTTTGTGATTTTTTTGGCAATTGTTACCTCCTTTATCTAACTAATAATTGTCAAAAGTCACAATCAATTTTACTTTTTCTGTTCTTTATTTTCCATGGGGTGCTGAGAAATAATGAAATTTTAAGAATCACATTCATTTATTAAAATGTACTGTCCTGTCTTTGTGGGCAGAGAGCATGCTGGTTGTGTCAGTAAGCTATAAGTGTTATAGGGATTACTGTTTTCTTAACCAGAATATAAAAGCTTTTTAAATCAATATGATAAATGAATCATTGCCTCACTTCGAAGATTTCTGAAGAACCAAAACTAAAATAACATGTTTTACTAACTTGAGTTAATAATTCAGTTATAAGAAAAACCAAAGTACTAAAATTTAAAAGGAGGCCTTTTTTAAGGAACCAAGACATTTATAATAAACATTCTAACTATAAAAGGACTACCTTAGTATTCTACATAATATTTGTGGTTTTTTTCTTGTTTTTTCACAGAATAAATGTCATTACCAAAAGTACTTTATTGTCATTGACATGTAGGGTATGTTTCAAGTCATAGGATCAGAAGATAAAATGCCAAGCTGGCAAGGTGGCTGATGCCTATAATCCAAACACTTTGGGAGCCCAAGATAGGAGGATTGCCTTGAGGTCAGGGGTTTGAGACCAGCCTGGTCAACATAGGGAGACTCTATCTCTATAAATAATAAAAATTAAGAAAAAATGCCTAAATGAAAAATATATAAATTTTATATTTTAATAGTGGCCTTTAAAATCTGTGATACAGATCAATCTATGTTGATGGTATTACTTTATTTTACTCTCGGAGGTGTAAATTTATAATCATGTTTATTTATGCCTACCTCACTATCAAACTTTCAACTGATAGATTGTGTCAATATGATTTAATTTAACTTTTGCTTTAATTAAGAAGATTAGTATTGTGCCTCAGGACTGATGACTCTATTGACATGGAGTTAAGCCACATATTCATTATATTCTTTGAATTTTTACGTTTTTTTAAATATCAAAAAGATAACTCTGAATTAAAAATCAATTAGAATTCTACACATAATTTTTCATGGAGATAAAAATACCTATAAAGTGTACATATATATATATATATATATATATATATGTTTTGTGCTGTATAAACAAAATTAAATATGCAGTGCCTTTTCAATTACATTACATGGATTCTTTTGATAAATTTATCAGTAAGGGTATTTGTAAATAATCGAACTCATTTTTCAATAAGGAATTAAACTTTTTTTTTTCCAATGAAGTAATGTATTTTTTTTCTAGCCATAAAAATCTTTAGTTCATTCAGTTAAAAATTGATTTAAATCAATTAGAAGTAGCATAATATTGGCCGGGTGTGGTTGCTCACGCCTGTAATCCCAGCACTTTGGGAGGCCAAGGCGGGCGGATCACAAAGTCAGGAGATTGAGACCATCCTGGCCAAAATGGTGAAACCCCGTCTTTACTAAAAATACAAAAATTAACTGGGCGTGGTGGTGTGCACCTGTAGTCCCAGATACTTGGGAGGCTGAGGCAGGAGAATCGCTTGAACCTGGGAGGTGGAGGTTGCAGTAAGCCGAGATCGTGCCACTGCACTCCAGCCTGGGAGATATAGCAGGACTCCATCTCAAAAAAAAAAAAAAAAAAAAAGGTGGATTATATTTTTATATATTTGCACACAGATAATTTTTTACATATTTATATGTAATTATTTTACAAATGCATTATTTTTACCTAATTAGTTAGATATTAAGAATTGTGTTCTTCAGATAATTATTATTTGCATTTGCCTAAAACTATGTATTGGAAGCATATTGCCATATAGCATTTGAAGCTGTACAGTAGAGCTTATTAAAATTTTATGTGACTTTTGGGGTTCTCCCCACAGTAATGAGAATTTGAAGTATGAAGTTCCTAACATTTTAGCTCCAGCTTTTTCTACCTTCTGTGAAAATAAAACAGCCTTCACATTTTTTATCATCTTTAGACCAACTGCATCTTTTTTATAGTGACAGACACAGCCACTCTAGTTTATGTGTTCAGAGAAATAAGTGCAAGAGTTTCAGATTAAGCAATTCAGTGCCTAGAAAACTCTTCAGCCAGCCCACAGGTCAAACAGAAAAATAAATACTCCAAAATATACAAAAAGTCTTCCTTAATGTTTGCATGTACCCTTGTTTTTTTTTAAATTAACAAATTTCCCAGGAGGATAGAAATAAAGCCTAGACGAAAGTGTCATGAGACAACTTCGAGGTAACTGTGTGGGCATTAGTCAAGCTGAATTAGGTCTAACAGTACTTTTCTGGAGGTCTTAGACACAGAGTTTTGGGTTACTTCAAATTTGTATTAGGAAATTTAGTTATTCCTAATTTTCCAAGCCCACGGCTTTTGAAGTTAGATTCAAAGCAAATACTGAAACATCTGGTTTCCTTTCTAGCTTAAAAAAGTACATTTGCAAATAGAGGCATATGGATGGATATGCACTTATCTAACTTTTCAAAATATTTCTGTAACTCACTTGATAAACCATCATAGACAGCATCTGTATAATTATGGTAATCTGTACTGATTTTACGTGAAAGAAATTCAAGTATGTCATCCTATTTGAGAACATAAAGTCAGCTAATGTACCAGTTTTTTTTTTACTGCTACTGCTTTTATATTTTGAAATGTTACTGTTATATTTTGTCATAGTTTTTAAGTGAACAGATAGGAAAATGATACTATTTCAGCTTCTTATTCCACAATTTCAAAACAAATTGCCTCATAAAAAAATAAGTTTAAATCATCATTTATGGGTGAATTAATAGATATTGCATTAAGTAATAATGGTAGACAAACTGTATTAAGCAATATATAATATTAGAGATTCTTGGTAAAGTAATAACACAAGGATAAATATTTTCTGGATTTTCTCAGAATATTTTGTTCAATTTTCAATCTTAAAATAATCTTGTTTAAAATATTTCTGAATTTGAAAAAATAAAACTGAAAAATCAGATTAAAAGCAAAGTCTGAATATGGTCAATTTAAATTTTAAATTCTGAACATCCAAAAATCAAATGAATTTGTTTAATTAAAATATACTCTGACATAGTATTGAACTTTTACTATAAAAGAAGTTTGTGACATGCAAAGGCAAATAAAATGTTCAAGTTTAAACTGTATAATTTAATTGCCTTTGTAATTTAAATGGAATCACTATCTGTTAGAATTTAAAATACATTTATTTTAATGCTTCCTTTAGCATTTTTATTTTACCTATCGAAAAAATTATGTCTTATGTCATATAGAGGTCACTGATATACTCATTGACATAATTGTTGATATCATAATTAATATGGTATTTTAAGTATATTCTTTGTCTCCATAACAATTATAGATAAAAGAAAGATCATGTTTCAAAAAATTCTTAAGTATGTATTTTATTTTCATTGAAGGTCACAGAAACAAAGGCATAAAATAACTACCACTTTAATAACAGATTTCGTATTTATTAATTATTGGAATCTACATAATATTAACTGTTAGGGAATTATGTAATACTTAGGAATAAAAACGCTGTATCTCAAAACTAAATTATAATGAGTGATTTAAATATTGTCAAAATTTCTCAACATTATTAATTTTACTTTTGTTTTGGTCATTATCTGATGTCATTTCTGTTATTATTATTACAATTAACCTGCTATATCTTCTTAGCTACCAAACCACACCTTTGATTGGTTTTGTTTCCTCTTTTGTTTAATTATTCTATCAACTGCTCACTCAATTAGTCAAATATTTGTTGAGCCTCTAGTAAGCACTAATTAGATCCCATAAAATATTAAACATTTATTTCTCATTTATTCATTTATTTATTCAACAATATCTATTGGCTACCCGTAAGTACTAAGAGTTGTGCCAAATGCTTGAATCCCAGAATGAACCCAACTGAATATGTTATTTTCACTAATAACTCACAATCAGTGCATATATCTGGCAATATATATCTATTACCCTTGAATAAATTTATAATAATACTTAAATCATCTTAAATTCTGTAAGAATGCCATGTATTTTAAATACGCTTTTCTGAAAAATATCTTGTAATATATATTTTGCTGGAGAGAAACATACAACTAGAAAGGAAATATGAGGAAGATTGTTATGTTGTCATTAGACTACTAGATTAGAAGCTTATTGAATATCTGCTCTACTATCATATTAATAATATTAATTTTATTACAAATTAAGATCTAATAATAATTGTTAGAATTTATGTTTTTAAAATTGGATTTAAAAGTAGATTATTTTGTCAATGCCTTTTAAAAATTTCCCCTCACATGTTAAGAAAAAATATCTAAGAATACTTAATAAATGTTTTAAATATATTTAACCAATACTGAGAAGGAGATGTATGGTGTTGGTTTTTGTCTCCATATAGTTTTATATTTTATGATCTCCTGTAAGCAGTTATATTATTATTTATAGCATAATGACATAATCAGCATGCTTATCTGAATTAGCTCTGAATGTTAATTAAGAGTAAGGATTAGCCTGGGATAGTGCTTTCTAGACATAGAATGACCTTATCCCAAAATTCTAATGGTAGCTCTTTGCTGACAGAGAATTAGGAAGAAATCTTGTCCGGGATGGGTTCATGCTTACTCAGATTTTCCCCTAAATGTTTTCTCCTCCTTTTTCTTTCTCTTTTCTTTCACCTAGGCATATGATTATAGAGATGGCAGTTAGTCATATAAAAAGTCTGGTTAGGGCACCCACCCCTTACATTAATAATAAAATATATTTTTCACCTTGCTTCAAATATTTATTTTATTAAACTAAAGCTACTATTGATATAATAGAAAATGTTTATAAAATGACTCCATTAAAATTCCCATATATGTTAGGTTTTTTTTCCTCTTAACCATATATATCTCCAAGAAAATTGAGCTGTTCTGAAATTCATTATTGGTCTAGGGTTCTTAGCAGTTTGATGTACAGAGATGAATAACTGAAGACCAAACCTAAAAGAAAGGAATAATGGTACACACATATCCCTCCAACAGGATTGATGTAACCTTAATAATTATTCACTAAGTCTTTAATAGTGCATATCTTATTTTGAAATTGGCATTTACAAATACAAATAAACTTTGGAGAATAAATTACTATACCAAATTTTGCAATATGAGTACTATTACATAAAAATGCATTAGGCTATTTAAATGAACAAATGATTAGGGTCAAATAGAGGAGAAAGTGTAAAGGAAGGCAAACAGTATTAAGTAACCTGGACTTCTTAGCTAGAAGAGTAAATCAAAGAATATTCAATGTGTTACATGCATAACATTTTTCTAAGTTAAAAGAATATAGGAATTTTTTGTGCATTTCTGTATATAATTGCCTTTAATTATTTTTAGAGTATTAGAATATTATCTATCATATTAGTGGGTTAGGCAGCAGGGCATGGACTCCCCAGAATCTACTCAATGGTTTATTATTTACAGTGACCACCAACACTGTCTTAACTTTATATTTTGGCTTAACTGTTTGATGGTTGAACTGACTTTAGAAAACCATATCCAAAGTGCTTACATTAACAGCTTTGATCTCAGCTATGGACTAGCGTGCAATAGCTTTCATATTTTTGTCACAGTGATGGGTGACATTTAATGTACGGTGAAGGACAACATTGAATTATTATGCACTTAAAAATAGATAACTGTTTTGGTGGGATGTTCAGTGTTAAACTAATCCGCTGTCAAAACGACTGTTGTCACATTAAAATGAAATGCCAATTTTGTTGTTTGTCTTTGCCACCAACTTGCCAGCTTTTTACCAAAAAAAACGATTTCAATTTTAACTTTCCATAACATAACTTTAGATATATTTTATTTTTAATGTCCTATTTTTTACTTAAATAAATTGCAGAAAAGCCTATTTATTATTATTCTTCACACTTAGCAATTTTCCTAAAATTTACTGAAAATTTAGTTTTAAATACGTGCTGTTCTGCTAATATGCCTGTCACATATTAAAGTGATTGCTAAAATTGATTAAATATTGACAAATATTTATCTAAATTATGGACCTAAAAGTAAACATTGATGAAAATTAGATATATTTTCAAACTGTGGATTAAAATATTTCCATAGTAGATGAGGCTACTTCTGCACTAAATAATATTTTTAAAATTATTATTTTTTGTTACAATGTACCTCTTTATTTTAGTGGTTCCAGTGATGTTTATGGTTGCAAGTATATGTGGAGTCACCAACCCAGAAAAAATTCTTAGTTTGTATCTTTAGTAGAACCAAACCAATTGAAACTAAGTTGAATCAATGACTTCTTTTCAGTTGTGATAAATATGGTATTGAGGTAATTGAGGCAACAGAGCTCTTGACTGAAAGTATCCATGTAGGACAAAGAAGATAATTTAATCTTCAGAGGAGAAATCAAACATATTTTCCACCTCTCAATTTTTAAATTATGCCAGACATTTACAGGTGTAAAAGATTTGAGAAAAAATTGAGTAAGACAAAGGCAATTTAAAATTAATGTGCTTTTTCTGTAATTTTCTGTAATCAAATGCTAGTTGGCATTTTTTAAGGATAAACATGCTTATTTATTTTTTAGAAGTATCTACATCAATCTACAAATTATTTTTTTCACATAAATATAATTTATTGTTAGGCCAAAATTAAGTATAAACGCAAGAGCAGAAATTTGATAGCCCATCTTTATTTTTCAAATTCTATGGATAAATTATTGGCCTCTGTATCCTTCTTTGCCTCCATCACCAGAATTGAGTGGAAAGACTCCTGGAAGCAAAAAGACTTCCTCTTTCTAGTCATTTTAAGTGTTTCCACTGGAAAAATATCTTGGCCAATGAACTTCTGAGAACTATGGTCATCTGTGATGATTTGTTTCCATTTAGAAGTTTCATAATGTCTAGCTCAGTAAATCACAAAATTAATTATAATAAGTTACAGTTTATGGGGTGATATGAAGAAACTCAGAGTGCTAAAACTTGAAGTACAACGCTTATTAAATTCTTATATTTGCTACCAAAAAATGGCACCTCTGTTCTTAATCAATTCTTTATGGAACATGTCATTGTATTTAACACACACACACACACACACACACACACACACACAGACACATACACATGCACACACATCTGATAAGAGCAGCACACGTATAAAAAATTTTTTTAAAGATTTGGACAATGGAGTGTAGTGGGTTCTTTGGCAGTTACTAATGTGTCTTTTATACATTTCTCACTAGCTAATTCAAGCTGAGAAGCTAATAGGACAAGAATAATACTGGTTTATCTTCCACTTTATTCTTTTTTTCTTTTTCCTTTCTTCCTTTTTTTTGGACCAGAATAAATATTTTTTTGAGGTGTCTTTTAAGAACCAACAGGATAAGGAAAAACAATCATTTTTTACCAAGTGATACACTTTTTCTTTTATGTTTTGTTGTTTCTAGATAGCAACATTTTTTCATAGCGGCAGAATACTGTGAATTGCTTGTAAGAATACACCTCTCCAGGCTGGTCTGTCTGTGGTAATTCTCAAAACAAAATTTCACTTCTGTTTTCCATAGCCACTGGAAAAATGGTGCCCTTGGTCTTTTTGGAAGCTTTCTCAGTCAACCTAAGAAAGGTCTTCTCAATCTGAAACAACTATTCCAGCAAAATCAGTGGCTTTAAAAAATTTCAATTTTTTTAAATGAAATATTTTAATCCACAATGTCTAGTAAAGACAGGCGACATCTTTTATATGAACATATACCTTTAAAAAGTGAAGTCTGTGCAGGAAGCCAGTGACATAAAGATAATGAAGAAATAAAGAATTGTTTACTAGGTATTTTTCTTTCATTCTGTATGTCTTAATGATTAGGAGTACTGTGCTCATAAAAAGGCAATTGTCTTGAGAAATGTAGAAAAATAGGTCAGTATTTTTTTTCTTTAATGCCAAACATGACACTTAAATTAGTTACAATTTTACTTGGATAAAGCTGTCCTTTTGCTGTAAATTATTTGGGGTAAGAGTCCTTTCAAATGGATGGTTGTCTATGCAGTCTTGTACCAGAGTGGTGGGTCAGGTGAGGGACAATTGAGAGAAAAAAGAAGAAAACTAATACGTATTGCATGTCAACAGTAGCCAGATTATATTTGAGAACTATAAAGAGATTCATTTATTACCTTTTTTTAAAATTAGTAACTGTGTGTTTTTATGATATGATTTAAGGAATAAATACATATATAGCAGCCCCCAGCCCCTCACCCTCACCACAAATGAGATTAGAGATGTTTTCTTTTTGTTGAATGCTGTTATTGTAACACTTTTTAATTTTAACTTATTATGAAGAAGAATGTGACACTAAAGAAAAAATAAATTTAGAAGAAAATGGAAAACATATTCAGAAAAGCATTTGTATCACTTGATTTGTTTTGCCTATCATGTTAACTTTACCTTCTAGTTTTTCTTCCCAAAATTTAGAAACTTGGCAGTTTTTTTTATTTAAAGTATGCTCTATTAAATATTTTTACTACATGTTAGTAGTATACGGTTTTACAGTAACAGATAATTCCTTGAAAAAAAAATCCTTAGTTAGCTGTACTTAAGAAGTATGTCTTTTTCTTTAGATTGCAAATAAGAAAGCTTGAAAACTTTCCAATCAACTGGGCACCTAGACAGGAGACATTAGCAACCAAATGTGTAGATTTGCTTTATAAAGCTAGTCTCTGGAAATGCTAACACTTTTTCCCTGAAAATTATTAGCTACGTGTTATAAAGCTAGTCTCTGGAAATGCTAACACTTTTTCCCTGAAAATTATTAGCTACGTGTATTAAAAGAATAAAACAACATTGTGAGTTTTTCTGAAGACTCAAGTGGTATTAGTATTGTTTTTTCATAATTCATGGATATGAGAGAAATATCAATGTTAAATAATAATGTACAGACAAAATTTTAGTGATAAATCACATCTTTCTTTATACTAAGTAAAATTATGCACTCTATCCAAATAATTAATGAGTAGGAGATATAGTGTCATCAACCAGTGTAACTTCATTCATTAGAGCATCTCACAACACCTTAATTGCTATAATTTTTTACATTCCATTACATAATTACATCATTCAAGTTAAACTGTTTTCATATCAATCCTGTTGGGTATACATATATAGAAAGAGAGAGGTTTCTTTTTGTTGTTTTTGTTTTTTTTTTTTTTAAGAAAAAATATCGTGGCTGTCCTAAATAGTAATGGGAATTTCAATATCTTTGGATAGAAATATCTTGGTTGATCTATTTCGTATATAAATATAATTAGTAAAACAAATGACCATGCAAACTATTCTATTAACTTTTAATATGTATAGTTTTTCTAGTTAGCTCTTGTGTAATAAAGCTGACTATGAAAATATAAAGTTATCTCTCTAAGAAACTTGTTGATTTTATACTCATTTTTGAAATTTTGTTTGGAAGCCCAGAAATTCACGTTTCATTCCTAATGACAGTAAACCATATTAATGAAGTTATTATATGTATTTGCATTTCAAGCCTATAGTTATTTTTTCTATTTTATTTAATGAGCATTGATTGAAACAGACTTTCAGTTTTAATACCTTCTAACTTATATAAAGGATGATTTTTCTCTTTCCCCGCCTGGATATAACATAGTTTCCTGCTATTCTTTATAAGAGATGTTAAATCCTAAATTAATTACTTTTAACATTTCGCTTTCTCATGGGCTTCTGACTACACCTGAGATGATAAAATGAGATGAACGCATTTGCAGTAAATTTTCCTATTAAATGGATAAACTTAATATTTGAAGCAAAGGTGAAATTGTAGGTTTTGAATGTTACTGGCATGATAAAGTTATAAACAGAATAGGGCTACAACTGTCATCTAAGTTGGTTCAGAATATGCACCTGAATATTATTTTAACATAATAAAATTAGGTAAGTGTTTCCCTGCTTCCCTTACTATTCTTGGTAATGGGGGGTGCTGGGAGGTGTATTTCAGTATAAGTTCAGCAATTCACTAGACTGAAGATATGTTTTGGAAACTGGTAATAATCTAGTGATTTTACAAAATAAGAAACATTAAAAATAGAGAAAATTTTGCTTGTAAATGGACATACAAAAATAAGATTCATACTTAGAGAAATGTGTATTTATTTTAAAATGTTGATATTACTACTTCAATTTTCAATTAGAGCTTCAATATTTAGGAAGATATTAAAAATAATGTTTTAAATCATCCACCTAAGAATTTAAACATATTTATTTTGGAGCCAGGCGCTGTGGCTCACGCTTGTAATCCCAGCACTTTGGGAGGCCGAGGTGGGCAGATCACCTGAGGTCAGGAGTTCAAGACCAGCCTGACCAACATAGAGAAACCCCGTCTCCACTAAAAATATAAAATTAGCCGGGCGTGGTGGCACATGCCTGTAATCCCAGCTACTAGGGAGGCTGAGGCAGGAGAATCGCTTGAACCTGGGAGGCAGAGGTAGCGGTGAGCCGAGATCGTGAGCCGAGATCGCGCCATTGCACTCCAGCCTGGGCAACAACAACAACTACAAAATATATATTTATTTTGATATTTTAGTTGAAAACAAAAGTAATACATGATTTCCAAACATATTTCAGTTGTTTTAGGTAGTAAACTGTGTATAGAATGCATATATATAATTTTAAAATATTTTATTGATTTGTTTGATACAATAGAGTGTCTATTTTCAAAAGACATTTCCAATTTATTTAGTGGGGATGTAGAAAACCCACAAGTCATTCAGCTTTGTGAAAGATGTTATAAAAATTATTTTTATAGGTAAAATTTCCTGCAAAAAAGAAAACTTTACGTGCCTTATATCTTGATGGTAGCTGTGGCTATTTTTGTGTCATCCAGATAATTGCATATTAGTTAATTCAATTTAAATGGCCAGATGATTTTATCCTTTCCAATGCTAGCTTCAAGTCCTTGTTGATAACATCATTTACTTACTGAGTGTCCTTGTTTTTTTTTTTCTTAAAAAAAGCATAGTTTTATTTTTTATTATTAGAAATCTCTTGACCTTCTGACTTATCTGAGGACAGTCTGCCTGAAGTCTGTTAATTCTGGATTTACTGCTATTAAAATCCTTAGCAAGTTTTTACTGCAAGCTAAACATTTGCTTTTGACCTGTGATTAATTCAAATGTAAATCACTCTCATAGTTCTTTTAAAATAACTACTTTTTAAGTTTGGTATTTTATTTGCAAATAAATAGCTATATTGGTAAGAAATAATTTTTTACAAGACAAACCTATGTTTTTTTATGTAATATTATATGTGAGCCATTTTCCTTACTATTCTCAATTTAAAGCCACTCTTAATTTGATTGGACAATTGGGTGTTTTAGAAAAAAAATGTATATTGATAGCCAGTGAATGGAACTACATGATAGCCATTGTATATTAAAAAATAGAATCCAGTTTTGAATGTCTAATTATAGTTTTTATTTTACTTTGACATTTGTAAAATTGCCTGAATTCATGGCAAACAATATTATGACTTTTCTTCAGAAATCTTATTATAAAATGATCAATAGATGATTATAATAATTTGTAATCCCATAACAATCTCATAAAATAATAATCTCATAACAATAAGGAATAATCTTGGCTACATTAAATAAACTAAAATACAGTATACCATTATAACTTTAAGTAATAAGAATAAGTCATAAGGATCTGTAATCAGCTTATTGATGAAGTTAATTTCCTATAACAAATATAAATTTTAAGTGGAAGTTAGAAGTCATAAATTCTAAAGTTGATTATTTTATTGTTTTTAGTTATCCATTTAAGACTAAATCATATTTATTTTTCATTAAGATTATGTATTTTAAAAAATTGACCACGATTTAAATTTGTTATCACTAACATATTACAAATCAGTAGAACTGATCATTGTTATCATTTCACTAAGCCTTTCAAATTCATTTGGATCTACTAAATAATACATTTAATAGCATATTATTACAATGTTAGGTACAAAAATCCTTCTACTTCACCATGTACATCTGGTAACTTTCTGGTACTAACACTACCAATTAAATAATGTCGAGCAATTCATGAATCATCTATAAAATTGGCTTAAAAATTTAAATGATATTTATTGTTCAGTGATGTGATGATAGTTTAATAATTGGCTATGGCAGTGAAAAGGGCTTTCCTTTGTAGCATTTGCCAATTTTCATAGTTTAAATATTCCCACAATAACAAATATCAAACTACCAATGGGAGGGTCACCGAATACAGATTTGGGAAAAGAGATGCAAAATTAGTTATTGCAAGCCAGAATGAGCAGGCCCTAGGATACCACTAATATGTAATATGTTCAAGAGAAGGGAAAAACAGTAAGCTGTAAAAGTTAATAGCAGGTAGTTCGGGTGGAATGTATTGACATACAAATATACACAATGTATGAAGAAGGATATGTGGAAGATAATGACAAGGTTGTAGAGCCTTGAAAGCAAAAGTAAAAAGTTAAGTTGTTATTAAGATAATTACAACCTCGGAAACAATTCTAAACTTAAAGTAAATGTCAGTTTATCCTCTTGCTCATTTAAATAAGTTTATACCTAAACAATTAGCATAACATTTTTGAGTTAACTGTATATGAACATATCTATGGACAAGAGAAATTATACCAGGAAGACTTTAGCTATATGATGTTTTCAGGGAATGAGTCATTGTGAATATTAATGTTTTCTTAATTATTGAGTTTTCAATACTAAATTACAAAAATTTAACTATTTACATGGAAATTTTTTTAACTACAACATATTCTTTCCTGCTTATAATTTTTAACCAAAAGTTCTTAAAGGAATAAAACTCTTTAAGATAATTTAGTTGCAATATTATAAACATCAATTATTTTTACCTGAAAGTTCAGTAATAGCTTCAGGGCCTGTATTAGAAGAAATAGGTTCCCTCGCGGGTAATAGGAAACTTCACCATGTTGTTTGAATTAATAGGGGATGATTGTGTTCATAGTCTCAAATTAGACAAAATTGAAACAGCAGCTGAAAGGTGTTATCAAGGAACCTAACACCTCTATCTACCTGCTACATCATTCTTAGAGACTTTTATCCTCATAGTTACAAGATACCCATTGAAAGGCCAGGCATTTTATCTGTATCCCAGGCTGGGAAGAAGGGAGAAAAGAGAAAGAGCAACCTGCAAAAGTCTTCACCTTTTTATTCAGAAAGGAGATGCTTCCTCTCTGTATATCTTATTAACTAGAATTATTTTGCTTAGATCGCCCTAGCTGCAAGAGAGGCTGCAGAAATGGCTTTCTTTTATCTGAGCTTACTGCCACTTCAGTTCTTTTGTTAGAAAAGTGATATTATTGGGTATGTTATTGGCAGTGGCTGCCCATAGGGATTTATTGAATTGTGAAGTAATGATTCATCACTCATGCAATTCTCTCAAAATTTTTATTTCAAGTGCTCATTTCTGAAATTTTCTTTTTCCTTCATTGTCATCAGTTATCAGAATGCCTGTCTCTAAGCAGTATAACTGCTCCCTTCTTGTTTGTTATTTTAAACCACATTTTCTTTAAAACAAGTTAATGAAACGTAAACAACGTATGAATAGTAAGTGCAAGTATTTCATGTCTTAGATTTCTGTTATACTTTCTTTCTGGTTCTGGTTTATATTGTTGAAATTCAAATTTGCCGAACTAGTTTTGTGTAAGAAACATGAATCATTACTCTAATATTTTAAGTGATGCTACCAAAATGTAAATTTTTAATGTTGTAGAAAATAACTCTGATTTATTTTGATGTGGGATATTCAAATACATCAATGTTTTTCCCAACTTCTCTATAGCCATGAAGAAGTTGGAGCAAAAAAAAAAATAATAGTTGGTAAATTGATACCCTTCATAATGCCCATATAATATAAATGCATCATAGCATATTTTAGGAGAGCTTTTACAAATCATCAGATACTAAGCTGTTTCTAGGGGAAAATATCTCTATGATCAAATAAGGTCAGGAGAACTATGTAGTAGAGTTTTCTTTTAGGAATTCACTATTAACAAATTAAAGGCTCTGAAAATTCTTGCAATAAAGAAATCTGATTAGGTTTGTTGAACTAGCATTGCCCCAACACTTAGCCATGGGGCCTTTTTTTTTTCTCTGTTAATCTATTATCTCTAATTTTATGTTCTCTATTAGTTAACTTTCTGAATCAAAGATGTGAAGCATTGCTTTAACATATAAGTTCACTTCAATTTTTTTATCTTCATCGTACACATTCTAAATTGATTAAATCACTTGTAACAAGACTAAGAATCTAGTCTCCTGATTCCTAATGGAATTATCAGTGCTCATTTTGCTGATGTACATGGAAGCATAAGATCGTGTCACATCTATTTAAGTGATAGTTTATGACTTCATAGAACTTGTGTATAGATAACAATTTGAAGTTTTTAAAAAAATTACTGAAACAACATCATTGCTTCAATTTTTAATATCTTCTTTTAAGAAAGTACATACAATAAATGTGTAAATTTACATTTAGTTATAAAATTAAAGTCATTTAATTTTTTAAAAAAATGGCTGGTCTTAGGACAACCTGTTATTATTTATTAGTGAACTTGGTCAGAAATTCAAGTTTTGTTATTAATCAAAAAGATAATCATTGGATACTTAAGAATTTTCTAAATGCATAAAAATTTATGAAATCATTAGAAAGTTGGGAAAAATCCTCACAACCTAGCAAACAAATTCCCCTTTTTAATACTGTCAAATCATAATTTGGAAGCAAGCATATGATTAATGTAAAGTCCAATTTTGTTAGTATTATTACCTTCTGTGGTAAAGGAGAAAGTATGTTAGAAAACAGTTGATAATTTATTTTGTGTTTATTGCAAGAATGAAATTAGTTATCTATTCTTTATAAATGATCAGTACTCAAGGTGGATTAATTATGTAGATTTTAATTTCATCCACAGTTGTGAAACTATACATTTTTTACGATTATAATCTTTTTGTTGGAGTCTTATTAGTCTAGCTTATGACAAACAATGTACAAGCAGAACTGAAAGAAGGTCATTGTATTTTAAATCTCATTTACATGTTAGACAAGAAATGACAATTATTAATGTTCTACTTTTGGAATACAAGTATATAGTACAAAAAGCTAAAAGAGAAGTAGTGAATTCAGTTCATATGTGAGTCTAGAGTGTCTAAAACTTGACTGTAGTGATATTAAAATGGTCTGTTTAGAGACAACTAGCAATTTTTATCTTCATGTCTCTAGTTTGCTCATCTTGTGTAGGTTGGACAGGTAGCAATTTTGAATGGCTCATCTTAAAATGAATGCAATTATCAAAGGATTATATGGTCCATCCTGCAAGGCATTCACTCATTTTAATCTTTCATTTGCAGCTTTCTGACTCCTTTTATACAATTTCATTTATAGTTAATGGGAAGTGTTATAGCTTAGTTTTAGCTTACTCCAAATAAAATATGTCGTTAGACAAAAGCTTCATAAATAGCAGTTATTCTTTCTCAAATTTGACCAAGTGTTGTTTGTTTCTTAAAGTTAGTAAAGTTATATTATTTATTTAGTTTGTGATCATAACACACAAAACAGCATGTATCCAAAACATTAAACTGATTATCATAATTTATAGCTAGATTGAGATTATATAAATTCATATTCCATCCTAAACATTAATGCACTTGTTTTTTTATTTAGTGATCTTTTCACCACCTAAAATTTATTACTACTACATCTATCAATCATCTACCTACCTATTTCTATTCATCCATGCATCAATTTATCAATAAGTATTAGCATATAAATCAGTGTGCAAAATTTATTTTTTAATGTCTCGCTCATTCATAATTTCTAATATGTATATATTTGGAATAACCTGCCAGTCACTATACCTACTCTTTCAGAAATAAAAAATGGAATTTTTATTTATTGTTTGATTAAATGGAATAGTACTACATGGGGAAATGATGACTTTATGAATAAATATTCTGGATAATAAAAGTAGTTTTTACTAGAGCAACTAAAGAAAATATGCTGTAGTTTAATACAGCAACTAAAAATAGTTTGATTTTCTTAACTCAAATATTAAAGTGCGTTTAGATATTTTATTGTATAATAAATCATATACAAAATATTGTTTCAAAAATTCCACTCATTGAGAGAAATTAATGATTAATGTTCTACTTCTTTTGGAATACATGTACCATAGTACAAAAAGCTAGAAAATAACTAGTGAATTCCGCTCCTATGTGAGCCTAGAATATTGAAAGCTTGACTGTAGTGATATTAAAATTGCCTGTCTAGAGACAATTAGCAATTTCTCTTTTCATTTTTGACCCAGGGAATTTGAAGGACTTTTGTGTGAAAGAATTTCCTGCAGATTATTAAACTTTCTTGAATCATAACTATAAAACAAGATCTGTGTGTGTGTGTGTGTGTTTGTGTGTGTTTAAACCTTGGGATAAAGACTGTAAACTCCAGAGACTTAAAACCATTTACTCCCAAATTTTTGAGTATGCTCTCACTAAGAAGTGTGGAGAAATGCAAACGTAATGCATGTTCTGTCTAAGTGGAGGGATTTAAAATTTATTATTGGGAAAGGACAAATGTACATGGGAAGGCACCAGATGCTATTCAATTAGTCCACCTGAAGATAGCACTGTAAAAGGCATAAAAAGCAGGCTCAAGAAGTAGTTAATAAGAATGGATGGCATTTCAGTGTTGAGAATTGCCTGCAGAGGATGTAATCCTAATGGTATATTTGTCTATAATGTATCTAAAAACAATACACCGGAGTACAACAAGTAGCAATTTTATTTGTAGTTTCTGCCTCTATTAACCACCTGTTGTCTACCTGAGATTTGATTTACTTGACCTCATAAATACTGGTCCGCACTAGAGTGTGGTAGCACAGCAAAGAACAACAAATTGTTGATTGCTATTTTTCCTCATATGTTATTTTACAAACTTATCACTTGTTGCACAGTTGTGAACTTTGTACAAAGGCAAGAAGCATTTTGAATAACATGGTAAAATGACTACAATCATAAAGATTTTGCTAACAGTTTCTCAGAGATTTGCAGTATAAAGCTAATGAAACTGCTGAATGTAATTCTGAAAATCTTCTGGATATGATATTTTGAAAGCAGAGGTATAAAGAAGTGTATCAACTGTACAACATGTTAAGGAATATATATTAGATATATAACATTTAAATAAGACATTGGGACATAGGTATTTTATTTTCTAATACAAAGTCTTAAGTTCTTGAAAAACTTTTAAATAGACCAAATTAGGTTAGTGGAATAACAAGAATAGTTTATAAACATCATCTGAATGCTTTAAGACATTTAGGGAAACTTAATTGTGTGATTAAAAACGATAAAAGTGCATACAGCATTTCAAATAAACCTATGGAGTTCTAGGCCCCTGTCTGATTTAAAAGAAAAAAAAAAGCTGAGCATATCATTATTGGAACCTCATGCTTGAATGAAGAAGCTGAAACTTAAAGAAATAAGATGACCTAACAAGAATCCATATTTAATCATAGAACTGGAGCCAGATTGGTGACCGCCTGCAGTGCACCACAGTACGAAAGCAACATTTAGCCACCCAGTGACAGAACTTTACTTTCACAACTGTAAGTAAAGTTCAAAGTTTAAGTCTTGAGCATGCAGGACTTTAATACTCGTAGCTAACATTGGGTTTTGCGGTTTTTAAGAGGAATCTGTTTCTTCATAATATTTAATGTTACTTTAGGTATTAGGTTATTCTTTTTTATCTTTTTTTCTTTCTTCTTTTAGAAGATCTTAAAATGGTTTCAATCCATAAAATATGACTACGACATAAACTTTAGAGTTCTATCAGCTATGTAGTGTGTAGCAATATGCTACATTTTAGTTTTTCACTTATTTCCTCATTTATCCTTTAAGACATTAAGTAGACACTAATCTTTGTGCATTCACTCACTGTTTTTCAGGGTCTTTGGAATTTTCTTCCTCCTCTCCCCTTTTATCTTCCTCCTCCTTCTTCATTTTCTGTAAGAATGAAGAGCACATTTCTGAATTTCCCCTTTCTTTCTCTTCCTACTGTTTCAGTAGTTACTGATAGGAGCTTTTCAGCATGATTTGGCCACTGTTTTTTCAGTCCTACATCATTCTGTCCGAGCTGTCATTTAGTAAAGATTAAATTTAGAAGAAAATTTTATTTATTATATTGTATTTGGTTGTTTTAAAATATAAATAAAAATTTGAAGCTGGACTAGATTTAATAAGAAATTGTTGAGTCATTTTATTATGTGCAGCTAGTAAGTTGGTGCAAAAATAATTACGGTTTTGCCAAAAGTACATTAAAATTAATGGCAAAAACCACAATTATTTTGCACCAGCCTAATATTTTTACATACTAGTATTTATTGAACTTTTTCCTTATTATCCTTCATGCAGCTTAGATAATATATGAATGTTTATATCTAAGCTAACTTGAAGGAGGAAAGATTTTTGTTGTAGTCAATTTACCTATTCCTTGATTATTATCTTTTTAGTACATTACAGATAAATATATTTACCTATAATGCTATATTTATATAAAAATTTTAGGACCTATAAGTTAATGTTACCATAAAAAAGATCCAGGGAAGAGGAAGAGAGTAAATAGATATTAGAACTTACAAGAAATAGTAAATAATTATATAAAATAATGTAGGCTAATTTATTAAACTTGCTGTCTTTCAATTAATAAATTTGCAAAGTGTAATATGTTTAACAAATGAGTGCATACATTCAAGTAAAAATATTTCTATGAAAAGACAGATAAGATAGGAAGGATAAAAATGGAGATATAATGTTCATAGCACATTCAGACAAACTAAGGCAAATGAAATATCAATCATATTGAGAACATCATAAAATTCTTTTGGAATGAAAAGGTGTTTTTATGCCCCTCCCTTGTTTTATACATAAGATAACTGAGGCACTGAGTGGTTGAAAGACATACTAGAGATCACACAGTCAAAGGTGCAAGAGGACTGGAAATAGGGCTCTCAACTAGTATAGAAATTAAAGGATTCTCTTCAAAAAAATAATTTTAAACAGTGTTTGAAATTATTAGTAAAACCCAACTTCAAAGTAAAAAACACAAAGGTTATTCTGTAACTTTTATTAAGGTACTACCAGCTGTTACACAGGGATAAAATATTATTAATAAAAATAATTGACCTCATAATCAGTATAAAAGAGATTTTGATGGTAAATATTTGGACAGATTTTACTGAAGTACACCAAATAAGAAAAAAATATATAAACATGATTATTGTTATAATGTCCTATAAATCTCTATAAATAGGAACAGGAAGGAATAATTTAAATGCCTGCAATGAGGGTTTCAGAGTGAGTAAAAAATTTTTGGATGCTGAAGGAAGATAGGGTTTTCTTTTTCTTTTTTTTTTTTTTAAAGATCATTTGGGATTTAGGGAAAAAAGTGTCTACTGCTATAAGAAGTTGGAACAGTTCTATTTGTTTAGTGAAGTAGATAGTCAAGCTTGAGATGAAAAAATATTTTGAGAAATTAAATAACTGATAGCTCAAAGAAATGAGTAGTCACAGATGGACTTCTTGGCCTTCTTTCGTGAGCACATTTCCTGTTTTATTGGCTTTGGATAAGTAAAGCTCCTCAAATGAATAAAAAATGAAGAAGAAAAAAGCATCCTTGGGAAATGCATAAAATATGTTCATTGCCTTTTTGAAAAAAATAATGTGTGTATGTGTGTAAGTGTGTTTCTGTATATCTGTGTACATATACACACATACAGATATATATGCATTGTGTAATACAGAACACAATGAATAGATATATATAGATTAATTCTCATTAACCAGAATTCATAAACAATTCTCAAAGGCATTAAGAAATAATGCAATTTTTAACATCTACATGTAGAGAATAAAAAATTTTAATTATGTAAAATAATATAATGCAGCACTATCAGAAATAAAAATCTGATAAAATCAGAAATGTTATGAGTTTTGAGAACAGATAAACTGATAGAAGTGTTGTATAAAATCTCTAGTAATTGTTTTAAAAATAATGTATTATTAAAACTCTTAGTATATGTAGTTATAGAATTTGAGTATTAAACAGAATCACTTAAATTATTTTAAATATCTTTATAAAGAATCAGAAACATTTAATAAATATTGGCAGTGGTATATGTTTCTAAATTAAAAATAGAATGTCTGCTTATAATCAAATGCATAAACATGCTGTATATGCTAAACAGTTTAGTCAGTTTTTGCACTAAAAACTATTATCTGCAAGTTAAAATATTATAATTAAACAGTCATTTTTATGACTATCTAGCAATATGGCCCAAGTGACTGGGGGATTTTGTTTGGTTTTTTTAAATCTTGATTTTAAATTTGAGTCAATTGTTACTAATTTACTATTATTATACTCTCTAATGTTTGCTTTGGCCATAAGTAATAACATAAGAAAAAATATATTCTTCCATTCTTAAAGTGAAAGGAGATAGAAGCCAAATAGTTAAATATGAATGTCATCAGTTCAAATCAAGTGTTAGCAATGTATAATTTTGTGAGGTTTTTCATTGGTAAATACATAGTACTTATTTATAAGGAAAGAACATAGACCTAATCATATTGTATATTTGAGCATGTTGTACATGTGAATCATATGACTTTCAGGTGTATTCTCTGTTTTTTATTTTATACAAATAAAATAATAGATCTGCCTTTTAAATAATAGATCTTACCATTTATCTTGAAATTGAAACAAAGAAGATCATTAGAGAGCTACAGAATGCCATAGAAATTACAGGAAAAGAATTAGGTGACTATAACTAAAGGGGGTCACAGTAAAATAATACCAACATACACCACACACACACACACACACACACACATACACAAGCATTGGCTAATAATTTTTCAGGTATCTTTATCTAAGATAAATAATTTTTCAAGTATCTTTATCTAAGATAATTTTTGTTTTACCCTTCAGTGGATTTACTTCACATATATGTATAGTGGCCCCTTAAAGAGAGGCAGCCAAACAAACACTGCATTTGTATTATTGCTTTCTTATTTCTACCATATAAAATGTAAGGGCTGTTTTGTCTTCTGTTGGGGATACAGTAAACAAGGGAGAAATGAGCTGGTAAGGAGAGGATAAACTACATCTGGAAAAGTCAGAGCTAGTTTGAGATGGGTAAGCATGTAAAGAGAGGAAGAAAGAAGGAATAATGAATGCCAATCAGGAAGTTGGGGCTATAGCCAAGAATTTTAACTGTAGCCTCCCCAGCAATATGAGGTGCCTGTCACAATTACAAAACTGTTTGCCTCATTACATGAATCAGTCAAATGATCAGACCAAATTGGTATTACATTTCATCAATAGATTCTTGATTTTTACTGAATCAAGAATATTATTATTTATAGTTTTATAAAATTCAGGAAAATATGTATCCACTCTTGTAAATGTATTTGGGTAGCTTTATTGTATCTGCTACTGGTTCAGAATGTTTTATTTTGGGAGATGCTGACTTAAAGATTATCCTAGACAGCCTTTAAACTTAAAGGTAATCATTATTTGTAACACTTTGATTTATTTTTAATCAACTATTTTAACATTGCCGTTCCTTTACCTCATATTGAATCTTAACTTACTGGAAGCCCCTATTCTCAAAAATTTGCCTTTAATACTATTCAAATAATGGTCCCATCCAAAGTTCTCACAAAACATTGTTTGTTTTCTACGTAAAACAACATTCAAAGAGTAAAAATAACTTGAGAACATTTAGTCTAATATGATCATTTTTCAGGGAGGAAAAGTGAGGTGAAGTGACTCATCTTATTACACAATAATACACACACATAATTTAAGTATGTAAGTTGAAAATCATGAGCTTTAATTGCATTATTATAATAAAGGTTTTACAAAATCCTGTCCTGCTTAAGTAATTACCCTTGTAATGTCTACCCTTGTGAGTGAATAGATAATAAGTAAGGATTTATTTTCAAAAAGATAATAAACTTGTGGGTTATCAATTCTAGAAAGAAGCTTTAGTGATTACCAGGGGCAACGCACACACACACACACACACACACACACACACACAGACACAAACACACACACACAAACACACACACAGAGACCGAGAGAGAGAAATCAGCACTATAGACAAGACTATATAATCTGTTGTATCAAGACAACTATCAATTATATTTTTTATTGGGTATACGGCTAACTTGCACAGACATCCTAAAACATTATTTAAAAAAATGGTTGGCAAATAGAACAAGTAATCAGAGGAAGAGCAGAACCTTTAAAAAACTCGTTTTCAAGGCAGCAAAAAACTCTAACAGACTCTCTTAAGAAGTGTTTTAGCTCCCACTACTTAGCATTAATAAGTGTGAAAGGGATTCCCAGTCTCAGGCCTACATCCCTGTCAGCTCTTAGTATTTACGTGCAGCTCCTTAATTCATGCTCAAAGATTATGTTATCAACAATGATTACCAGTGGTGGGAAAGCCGGGCTTGAAAAGGCTGAATAATGGCTAAGACTCGCTTCTCTTCGTGCACATTTAAAAGCAGTGCTTTCATTGATAGCCAAAATCCTGCTAACAGGGGTGGGTATTATTGTGCCTACTCCTCAGTTTCATGAAGAGATCTGTTGTTTCTTAGAATTTCCACGCCACCTCATCTAGTTTCATGTTGTTTTTCCTTGTGTCATTAAAAAATACCTTGTTCCCACTTTTTCTGAGTGCTGTTTCCACTGAGGCTGGCCATCCAGCAGTGGCCTGAGGTTCTTAATATTTCTCTTTATTTTTTAAAGGAAATGCATCTTATGAGGTAGTGTTTACAAACCAGTCATATTTTAGATCCCACCACTCATTCTGTTGAAGAAACTTGCACTTAAGATGAGAGTAATGCAAAGCTCATTTAAAAATTCTTTATCTTTATAGGTTAATAATCATTCTGATATTTTGTTTATTTTTCAGAAAAATATGTTACTCGATAAAACACAGAAATAGTATGATTCTGGATATATTTTATTTTTGAATTTAAAGCAGTAAGATTGATTCCATCAGTAGTTTAAATACAAAATAAATCTGCTCAAGAAGTAGATCACAAAAAAGACAGGTAGACTGGGTAAACAAGGAATTCATACAAATACTCTTTGTCCAAAGTGTCCAAAATTTACTAGCTATCAATATTACTACATTGCTCTCGCTTAATAAAATACACACGGAAGAACAGATACATTTTAGTGATTGTTTTATTAACTCTATAATACCTCTATTATGCCCAAGGAACTCCTGTGTGCAATTTATTGAAAAGCATTAGTATGATAATTATTCATGGAAAAAGCAGCTCTGCTCTGAATCTTCTACATCCACTGGCATCTACATTCTACATAACACTGAACAAAGTGCTAAAGAATTTCATTTTTCTGTGTATATGGACCCAATGAAACAATAGTATTTTTGAGCACTTATTCTATTTTCAGTATTGTTCTAATGCTGTAAGAGATGTAAAATTAAAATGACATACTTCATTCATTTAATCTATTAGTAAGTGAATTAAGGCTTTAACATATGAAAATGATATCAAATGGGCAATAATGAAGTGAGCATTTTAGGTGGAGGAGGCTAAAATAAATATGGAGTAGCATATTTACCTTTCAAGGAGTGTATCATCCAATAAGTGAATTATGCTTTAAAATATAAGTAGAATATTAATGAGCTGTAATAAAGGAACATTTTTCCTGGGAGGAAGAACATTAACAAAGTAAAGAGATCTTAATATGAATGCTATGTAAGATGTTATATGAGTGTCATGTATGAGATATTTTTGATCTATTTAGATAAACCATAAGACTCTTGTTAGAGCATAGTAGAAAAAATGATATGACTCAGCTTTCTAAAGCCTTGAATATTGGGCAGAAGAGGTTAGAGTTTATAAAAAAGAAATATTGGTTTCTTGCAGATTCTTGATCAATGAATAAAAAGTATTAAAGTTTGAGAAGATTTACTTAATAGTCATAAATAGAAAAGACAAAAGAGATATAGGTGAGAGAATCAAAAGATAGGGAGATGTGTTGGTTTGGAGGTAATTAGAGCCCACCAAAAATTGTAGTAATAAGGGGAGTGTGAAATAAAAATGGAAAGGCAAATTCAGGAATTATTTTGAAAAAAATAGGCAATAAACTTTGGTGATGTACTAGATGTGGATATTTAAGAAAAAGATAGATGATTTTAAGAATTCTAATCTGGATTGTGGGACAATGCTTGGATTACCTGCCACATTGGTTGAATATAGACAGGTTGTCAGTTTGGTATGGAGAGCATGATCAATTTGATATTGGTCATGCTGAGTATGAAGTATAGCATTACCCCCAGTTACATCTATCTGTGGTCAGATGTAATATGGAATGGGTTGAGCACTGGTGAGATACCAGTGAATTCAGCTATATAGATATTCTAGCTAATCCAAAATCGGCAAGGGGCTATTCCAAGAAAAGAGCAAATAGGCTAGCTGTATATTAGTATGGATGATAATGACTATATTAAGAATCTGTCGACATTATAGTCCTTGCAATGTGGGAGTTACTTTGGTTTGGAGTGTGAGTCGTATTACTGATCCTGACAATGTGTTGCCCCCCCACCACACCCAAGTGTTACTCTTTCTAATTGGAAACCTTTTGGCATAGTGCTAACTAGCTAATATGCTGCATTCACTTTTATTTACTCTTATCAAATGGGATTATGAGTGTATGATATCAGGTTTCTTGAGCTTTCAGTTATATTCAATTGAACCAAATATATTTACATTCAGTTGTGTTTATTTTATTTAAAACCATCTTCCTAAATTGTAAACTGATATATTATTTCTTAGCTTACATAAAAGTGTTTTCTAAATGTTTTATTACTTTCATTCCTTTCTTAACCATAGTTTAACTTCATCCAACTTCAAAACATCACCATATCATTTTACATTATGAAGCCTTTTACATCTAAGTATAGAAAACGCATTATAGCCTTAACTAACATCCTGCTCATTAATGATTTGGAAGGTAACTGAAATTAATTATAGCTAGGAAAATCTTTTCCTTAGAAACTAACTCTAAAAGTACTTAAATATGTACAATTAAAGAAAAAATGATACGGGCTGTGTGACTCAAAACTAATGCACACACAATTACTTTTTAAGTAATATGGATAATTTATTGAACAATAAAAATATTTTGGGATATATGTTATTTATAACTAACAACAGAAGATGTATAATAGCAACTGATAACAGAATAACAACCATTCTTATTGAAAGAAATTGCCATGCAGGTTACATAAACTACGTATTTGGAATGATGACTAAAAATTTTCAGGCTAAGAAGATTGTTTATTATTCATTAAGAAAGTAAAAAATTAAAAAAACAAGCAAACAAATAATAAAACCTAAAAGTGAAGTGGTACTTGCTGAATATAAGAAGATCACACAGTTTCACAGGATAATTTGGTATGTTTGCAGAGCATGCCACTGAAAAGAAACCTTTATTTTATTTACTATGGAATAAAACAGTATTTTAGGAAATTATTTCTTAGACTTGTAATAACATTATAAAAGATAACTGCACAGACGAAACTTCAGGGTGGCAAGGATATTTTTACAGAAGATTCTTGTAGTGAATCCTTGAGTTTCATATGGATATTATAAAAGAATGTAATGGCAGTGAGTTTGATATGGTGCCTTCCCCAAAGTTACATGACATTATGTTTGATAATTGTTTATCGTAGACACATACAATGTTTTAAGCTTACTTCTTAATATTTTATTTTCTGAAATCAATGTCAATTAAAAATTAATGGTTTTGAAAAATAAGCAATCTATCCCGGAAGGTATTTTTTCCCCCTCTCTTCAAATATGTTTAGTTAAATTCCTTTAATTTGATTTATTTCATTTGAGAGATACTGTGATCTTTCAGAAAAATTGCTGGGGCTCTTGCTTTTAGTATTTCTTCATGGATTTAAAGAGATAACTTTTTCTAACAGTGTAAAAAATAGCAATATTCTATTCCATGTGAAAAATAATTCAAATTCAGGTGGCAATGTTAAAATATAGTACAAACATAATACTGTAAAGTTTAGGCTTCAGGTAAATTTGAATGTTCCTTAAGGATTTCATATCTATGCATATATTATTTAATTTTAACATTTGAAATATTTATATTATTAGGCTTGATATGGCAGTAAATAAAAAATAACATTTATTCCATAATATTTTTAATAGAAATTAGTTAATACACTTATTAACTAAAGCATGATCTTTTCTTGAGCATTTGTGACGTTTTTTGTATTCTGATAATATCACAGACTTTATGACCAAATCTTAATTATTGAATGCTCTCAGTGTGCATGATTTGGTTCTACATAGTGAAGGATATAAATATGTTAAAAAGTGATGAAGCAGGAAGTCTTCTATTCGAGTGAAAATTAAGGAATTACTCATTGATTGGAAAGTAGGAAAAACTAGAAATAGTATTCCTCTATAATTAGGAATAAATTAGATCATAGGAATTCCCTTTTCTTGTTTTATGGGAAATGATAAAGATTGAAATGCTGACTGGAATGGATTGCAATAAGAGAGTAGGAACATTTTCACAGGCGATCTCCATTACAGACCTGACTCAAACCTTCTGTGCACTTCAGAGATACCTGATTTATACAAAACTGAATTTTTATACTAATGTAATAGTTTTCTTAAGTCATTTGTTACAGTTCAGAATGAGACAATATAGCTAAGTTTGTTTCATAATTGGCAAGTGTGACACAAACATCAGGTGATGTTATTATTCATTATATGTAACATTTTCAATAGTTTATTATTTAAATTTGCCATCTCTGTAATGCCTCACCTTATTCTTTCATGGCTTGTTTTAAACAATTTTAGTCGCAGGCAAGTCTGCTTTACAAAGGCTTGAGATGTTCCCATTTTATGCCTGATCCCACTACAGATGTCATGAAAATGGCATAATTTCAGCAGATTGTACTTAACAGATAGGTGGTAAGGTTGTCTATTATCTGATAAGCCTGTAGAGACCTCATTTCCTTTCTTCCTGACATTTAATCTAATTTTCTGCCAAGTATGATAGTTGTTATAACTGGCCCTTCTCAGGCCATTTATGGGTTAAACTAATAGTAATTTCATACCCTAGAAGTAGAGTTACCCTAGCAACTCTCAGTCCATCTAGATCCAATTTCTAAAAATACTCTCTCATTTCTGGCTATTTTCTTTTGTACTGGAGACACAACTATGAAGTCCATTTCCACGTTCTGCTTCTCAAGAAAATGCCAAACACACCAGTGGATCCATGCTCACTTGTGTTGGCACCAAACTGGCCTGATCACCTATGTTGAAAAAGCACATGGCTCATTTAAATAATGCTGAAAAGTTGAGCATAGCTGAAGTGTAGGATGATTTTAAAAAAATCCAGAGTTGAGCCTGAAAACATGGCTTATAGTCATTCTGTGAAAGTTTTTAACGTATATGGGTTTTTAGTGTAGCAATTACCTGTTTTCCATTTCTCTCCTAAATAACCAAGTTAGCATTACCTTGTCACTTGCCTTTTTTTTTTTAAGTTTGGATGATGTAACTTCTCTTATTAAGAAGGACTACTGTATTTTCTTTTGAGAATTTTATATTTTTATTCAACAAAGTGTACCACTCCTTAGCAAATAGTAATCATCCTTCAAAATATTCTTTTTTCCCCACAAATACAGAAGTAACAATTGAAAATTTGAATATCAAATTTTGAATTTTTAAATTACTTTGGAAATTAAAGTAAAAAGTAGTAAGAGATCACGTCTTCACATTATTAGTTTAACTATATGCCCATGAAAAGAAAAACAAAGTCACAGTAAATATGAAAATAGTATGTAATGAAAAAAAAAACTTTGTATTCCTCGTACTAGAATGTTTGTTTATACTTGATTTTGAAAATGATTGTGTCTATTTTGTTTAAGACAAATTAATGTGAAAAGCTATTTATTTTCCCTATTCCAATCCATTTACTCCCATCTATAAAATGAGGTGGGGAATTAATATGTCAACAAAGCAATTAAGTAGAACAAAAAAACCAGAATATTACCGTTAACTGCTGTTAAATTTTTAAACAAGATTTGCTTTGAATTTTTCATAACACGTGAAAGTTGAGGATTGTTATGTAATAATGATGATGATGAAAAAATAAACACATATTGAATTTAAATTCTGACATATAAATAGGACACATTCTAGAAAGGCCATTTCAGCTTAAGGAAAAAAAGTGTTCAAATGTGTAAAATATATCACTAATTGGCTTAAAATTATATATGTTATAAAAATCATTTTTGTACTCTTCATTAGTTGTAATGTAGTTTGCCTGTGATATGACAAAGTGTTCAAATTAATGTTGAATTAGCTTTTTTTTCAAAAAATGGTAATGTATTCCCTCAATGAGTAGTAGATTATTTTATATATTTTCTAAATTATTTCTTTGCTCTAAAGGTCTAGAGTAAGAAATCTTTAAACAAGGATTATATACTTTCAGCTAACATTTATGTAGCAATATGTAGTTTGAAAACGGCTTTGCACATATTATCTCTCATGCTGAGTTTTCCCGCCTCCTCTTTAGAAATAAATATTCAGCTCAGAGAGATTTAGTGATCTGTCACCACATACAAAGTATGTATTTGGCTGGAATTCAAACCTTCCAGTCTCAAAACTTGTAGTCATTCTATTATGCCTCTTTTAGGCACTGAAGTAATGCAAGTGCTAATAATAATGAGGAGGAGGAGAATGATTTTTAAAAGTCCATCTCTCAAAGGCCTCATGAAACTCTGGAAATACAAAATTGATACATGAAATCACATTAGTACAGCAAAAGACAGTAGGTGATAAATAGATATTTGAAACAGATCAACTTTTGGGCAAAAGCAAACACTATGGAATTTCAGAAAGGAGTAGCATAGAAGCCAGTTGGGTGAATTAACTGAAGAGGAAGAGGACTTTTCACTTAATAGAAACAGCATAAACAAAGGCATAATGAGACAATGGGCCAGTCTACATAATAGTTTGAATAAAGTTAAAAATATTGAGTCATATTATATTGAGCCTTGAAATTCAGAGACAGAGAAAGTTAAACCTAATAATTCAGTAGTTAATAGATATTGATTCTACACAAGGGGAGTTTCATGATGCATAACTTAATATGAGGATAGTTTTACAAGACAAAAATGGAGAAAAGGAGAATCAAGTAGAGACAGTTTTAGAAAGTCCGTGATTAAGAATGGAAACAAAAGTGCAATGAAGTCGGTAAGATGAATCAAAGATACATTTTTAAAAAGTTGACATGTCTTAAGCATAGTTTGTATTTAAGTAAAAATAGTAAAAGAAGATACACTTTAAGTCTCAAGAGCTCAGAGAAGTGACACATCAATTTAGAAAAGGAGAAATTGGGAAACAGAGATAATATGGGGGAAGTTATTTGGTTCAATTTTAAACATTTTAAGCATGAGGTAATGGTGAGCTACCTAGGTAGGAAGTTACAGAGATGGATGGAAATCCATTGAGGGAGAATTTATGGCTGTAAATTAAGAGAGTTTTGTAATCATCAGTATAGAAGTTAAAGTCATGAGTGTGTTAAGTGATTAAGGAAGAAGGAAAGTTTTGAGAGCTGAAACAGAGCCATGACAGATTATCTGTTAGTGGGGCAGAGAGTGAGAAACAAGGGTGCATGTCAGAAGTTCAAAGGGAAGGCATCATTCAATAATAATGGTATTAGAAGTTCAAAAATGGTTAAAAAGTAGATTTGAGGAACAAGACAATGGATTTAAAAGCAAGATTTTAAAACAATGGAAGTTTAGGATTAAGGAGAAATTAGGTGTAAAGATATAGGAGAATAATCATTTTAGATGTTTGGCCAGAATTTGAAAAAGAAAGAGAGAAGTAAAAGGAACATACAAATAATTCAAATATGTTTCAAATGCTCACTTTTTTAAAAACCTTGTGCTAAAAATTTGAGGAGATGCAAAGATAAATAAAGAACTGTATTGGGATGTATTCAATTACAATATAATGGAAAAGGGAAAAGATGTGCATTAATTTATAGTGAAGAAACCAGGCTGTGATAAGTATGACTTGACCCTCTTCATTTTATAAATATGGAGAAAAGAAAGATATACTTGGGTTACACAAGTAGTGGTTAAGCGTCTCTAATGAAGACAGCCCAAAATAAAATAGCTTGAATTAGTGGACATTTATTTCTCTCTCATCCCCAATCGAGAGAACAGTCCAGCTCTGGTGGGACAGCTCTGTTTTCCTCAGCAAGGGGCTTCTAATACTTCTCTATTTAGCACCATTTCCTAAAATGAGGAAGATTCCAGGGCAAATGTCTTTAATGAGAATTTTCAGAAAGTTGTGCATATTGCTTCTAATCGTATGTCAGTGGCTCAAATTGGGTTGAATAACAAGAGCAGATGAGAAGTACAGTTTTAGCTGGGCATCAATGTTACTACTAAAACCCAAGGAGGAAAACAAATACTGAGCGATAGTCATCAGTCTCTATTATAGATATCCTCCATGAAGAGAGAATGAGGAAAGTTACTGAATGGTAGTACTGGGTAGTATTGAAGGATGGGTGTAGGATTTGAATATCTATGGAGTGAAGAGTAGGGAATTACAGGGTAAATGACAATATGAGCAAAGAAATGAATAAGAATAAATACAGGGCTTTTTTTTTTTGGAAAGGGGGGTCAGAGATCACATTTGCTAAGAAAAGTGGATCATAATCTTGAAATGTTTTTGAAGGAAAGTGTGAAGAATCTTGAATTCCATGTTTAAAGTCTGGATATTTTATATATGGACAATGGACACAATTAAAGATTTTTAAAATAGAGATGTGATATTATGGGAATTATTCCACATTAAAATCAACTGGGAAGCGGTATATAGAGATTAGAAATTTGAATAAAAAGTGGAAAGTCCAGTTAGGAGACTACTGCTATGGATATGACAGCCTGAACTAGTATAGTGCCAATGGGAATAAACAGAAAATGGGAAGGGCAAGAAATGAAAAAGACATTCTAGAAGTTTACCGACATAATTTGACAACTGCTGGAGTTTTGGGTTATGAGGCAAAGAAATATAAAGAATGGAAGTTGATTCAAAGGATATTAAGCCTAAGTGATTTAAGGGCTAGTGGCAGGGCCACTGCAATTGTTCATTTAAGGATGCTGGCAGGTGATGGTATTAACAGAGATAAGAAATGTAATAAAAGAAAAATTAGTAAAAATTGTGAATTAATATAGGACACTGTGGTATTGGAGAGTCTACTGTCAGGACAGTGGAAATTCACTTTAAGTCAAGGGAGTGAATAGGATTTAATATATATATTTGGGGAAACAAATAATTGTATGAGCAGAAAAATATTAATTTGGAGGCCAATTGATTTAAATTATGATTTAAATTTAAAAAGTGAATCCGAAAGAGTTGGAAGATGAGGACAGATACTGAAGCAAGATCTGGAAACAGGGAAGATAGAATTCAGTGGGACAGTCAATCTTAGAGGGGTGAGATGATTTAGCTTAAAAAAATAAATAATGGAGCTAGAATAAGAGTTGTGTTCACGTTAATGTGAGAGAGATAAGGTAGACCACAGACAAAGCAATGCAAGGCCAGTGAGTAAGAGTGTGTGTGTGTTGGGAGATATTGCTTGAAAGTGGGAATCGGAGATAAAAAGAATTGACTTACCTTTCCTCACTATTAGAGGAATGGTAATGAATCAAATTGAGAAAGAGGAAAAGCTTCCCAAGTATTGCCATAAAGAGCAAATTGGAAATTCATATTGGAGACCATTTTTCTTAGCCTGTATTTGTATCTTTTGGAAGCTTTATCCTTTTGGATATCTTCAGTTTAAGAAAAAAAGCAGAGAATGTGAGGTAAAACATGTACATTATTTTAATTTAAATATCAATTTACCAAACATTTATTTTTTTCTCTTTTGAATAAATTATACAAGAGACTTCCTTGAAACCAGTGTCAGTGTTCCCAGATTCTTCCTTCCTACCTTTCTCCATTTCCTTCCTTCCTTCCTTCCTTCCTTCCTTCCTTCCTTCCTTCCTTCCTTCCTTCCTTCCTTCCCTCCCTTCCTCCCTCACTCCTTCCTTCCATTCTTTCCTTCCTCTTCAGATTATATAGTCTGAGAAAATAGAAAATAAATTTTTCAAATGTATATGTATAAATTTGGATATCTCCCCAACCCTACAACCACGTCTCATTCCTCTCATTTCCCATGGAATCCCTTGAAACATCTATATAATACTTCAGGGCTTAAGGAACTCTATGAAAAAACTAGTGATCTCAGTCAAACAAATTACACAGTCTCACTATCTTTAGCTATGTTTCTAGGAGTTGTCATATGGGAAAACTAAATCTAGCTTTTATAGACCAGTTTCATGTTAATAGCTAATATACTTTTAAGAGTAGGAAAAATATGTTTTAATTATCAAGAAATTAAAATTGGAGGTTGAATAACTATAGTTGAAGTCATAGCATCTAATAATATTTACTTGCTATTATTGTGTCAAAGTATTGAATATTTGCCACCTGCTGGCACTACATTAACCCATACAATCCTTTAGAATACGCTTATGGGTTAGGTCTTCCTATTTTTCTCATGCTTTGGGCAGGGGAACTAATGGCATATGGCTGTGAGGGATGGAGATGGGTGCTCTAGCAGCAGAGCCCGTTCATGATCTAACCACTAAATCACATTGTCTCTCATGAGCAATCAATGTTTTAGATAGTTAATTTAAAGCGGTAATATTTTTTAAAGAACACATTCTTGTATAAAGACTGATGGCCAACATTCTGTTACTTGGAAATACTTTAAAAAACGTGTATAAACTATTCTCATTAGCATGAAAGTAATAAGGGAATTTAAATGAAAATAAAATGTCTAAAACCAAAGCTAGTTCTATTTCAGTCAGACACAACAAATCAACTTACTCTTCAATCAACCTTTCTGTTTAGTGTGTCAGTTTAACTTAGAGAACCAAACAAAACACTTTTTTGTTTGTCAAGGATAGGCTATTAAAACAAGGGTGTTCTAAAATTGCATTAGAAAGATGAAAATGATTTGTTTAATCTTCTGAATTTTCATATGTCAGGAACATTATTGTGAAGAAAATTGAGCTCTCTGAAGTGACGGATACATTATTCAAATAACTTTGATTGGATGTAAGATTTTTTTTAATGCTTTCACAAAGCGGACATATTCTAATTTGGTTTATAAAAGAGTGGCTTTAAAATTTGAAATACTGGGAAAAATATTTTTTTAGTTCAATAATTAGACAAAGCATATTTAATTGTGGGTGTAATGTTTATGGATAATTCCATTAATTGATAAATATATCTGGATTATAATTAGCATAAATTATTTGCACCTTAATAAGTCCTCAGTTTGAACTACATTAGAGATGTTAAGATTTCTAAAGTCATCTACAACTGGCCTTAAAAATTAGATTTGATTTTTTAAATCTTAAAATAGTGGTTCAGATAAGTTATAGATTTGAAACAAAATAATAAATGGAAAACAGTGAGCCTCAGTATGAATTCCTGCTTCTAAAACTGCTTTGATGGCTCGGCGCGGTGGCTCACGCCTGTAATCCTAGCACTTTGGGAGGCCCAGGCAGGCGGATTGTCTGAGCTCAGGAGTTTGAGACCAGCCTGGGCAACACAGTGAAACCCTGTCTCTATTAAAATGCAAAAAATTAGCTGGGTGTGGTGGCATGCACCTGTAGTCACAGCTACTCCGGAGGCTGAGGCAGGAGAATCGCTTGAACCCAGGAGGCGGAGGTTGCAGTGAGCCGAGATTGTGCCGCTGCACTCACTCCAGCCTGGGGGACAAAGGGAGATTCTGTCTCCAAAAAAAAAAAAAAAAAAAAAACCACAACGCTTTGATACTTTGATATCATGCTGATTGGCATGTTCTCTGAAACCTATAATAATGTCAGAAGCGTGTATTAGAATGCAGTAGATTCTTATTTTTTTGTTTCTTTAGAGTTGAGATTTTACACATAAATATGTAAATTCATAGAATCATTTTGTTAGATACATAATTCTGCATTGATTATTTTAATCTCTGTTACTTTGGTGGTTTCTATTATAGCATGCAAAATTCTTATGATGATTTTATATTTTTTTCTGTCTTTAAAATACTCTACGGTCTTTAAAAAATGTTTCACAACTAAGTTTGTTTTCTACTTTAATGACTTTCTAGCTTTCAAATTTTTATAAATCCTGTACATACAATGCCTAAGTCTTAAAAAATGTTATTGGTTTACTGATATACAGATTTTCCTCTAACAAATAATGTATAGTAAGAAAATGCAATTTCTTACTGTGGAAATTAGCTGATAAGGACAGGGATCTTTAAAATCGAACACTTGCAGGCACGTATATGAAATCTTGTAAAAATGTCTGTTTCTGCTTTCTACTTAAACTTATCTGTCTTTTTGTTTCTTTTGCAGCAAAAAATGCTGGATAGAATTTCTTCCCACTGCAATTTAAATGTATTCTTTTTTCTGTCAATTACCACAGGTTTAGTCCTTATGAGTGGTATAATCCACACCCTTGCAACCCTGACTCAGACGTGGTGGAAAACAATTTTACCTTGCTAAATAGTTTCTGGTTTGGAGTTGGAGCTCTCATGCAGCAAGGTATACGATTCAGCCTGCTATTTCCTTTGGGCACCATGTCCCACTCTTTGCTGGGGGTGACAGCTCTTGCTGGCACAAGTCGCTTGCATGGGTGCCTCTGTGCATGTAACCATAATCCAGCTTTTCCATCGACCTAATGCATTTAGGCCTTCTCAAATCCCATTCAAGAGAGATTCTGAGAAAATAATTAGCTTTTGCAAATCCACATAGAGTATACTCATCTATTTTTTTCCTTAACCTACAGTAGATACATTATTTCATAGATAACCAAGCTAACCTGATCATTAGCCAGAAGCTGCATTTAAACTACTACAAAGATTACATCTCCTTGAGACAAGAATACAGTGTTATGCTCCTGTTTCTTGTCTCATTTTGATGTAAAATCTTCTCTTTCATATTAATTCTTGGTGATTAGATGCATTTGTATTGCATGATTAGTAAATTTACTGCCTATAAATTTGAAGAGTTAAAATATTAAAACATGAACTTTTTGAGTAAAATATTAGCTGCATTTGATAGCATATAAGAATATAAAATATTGCATGCTCGGAAGTGCATGCAAAAATACTTTTTCGTAATTATTTAAACTTTATAATATACATGTTAAAATTAAGGCTATATCTTAGAAAATGAGATAATACATGTACTAATACGTCTTAATGGTTTATATGTAACTATGAATCTACTATTTTAGTCTCAGTTTTTTTCAAGCAGAATTTTAATATTTGATGCTATGGTTTCTTTTATTAATCTTTTCACATTTAAATAAAGTTTAACAAATTGCTATGCTAGACCTATTACTCAAAATAAAATATTTTATTAGTCAAGGTCTAAGACTAGTTTTGCCAATTTAAAATGTAACATTTTAAAGTTTTAAAATTAGTAAATAAAGCAAAAAAATCCCAAATTTGAAAAACTGACAGTAAAGGAAGAAAAAAAAACATATTTCTTCATAAGAGTTATCATACCTATCATAAGGTTTGATTTTAAGTTTTTGTTGTGTATTTAATATCCACTTTGAAGAAATTCATTTAGTGATTGCATTACAGATCTGAAGAAGTGGAAATTTATGTTGTTATAAAATGTTGTTTCTAAAAAAGGCATCGTGCTATTGCATGTTTAATTTTATGCAGAAATGCATTAATTCATTACTGTTTCATTTATAAACTATTTCCTAAAGTGAAAATACATAACTACATGTCAAAAGAAAAAGTTTAATTTACCAATAAATAATCTTTAATACATATTGTAAGCATGGCCTACTAAATTGAAATGTTTATTGTATAATTATTAATATATATGTAAACTATATTTTTATATATAGTTTATGAATATTTAAACCTAAAACTTGAAAATCCAGAAAACTTTTACATGAGCTAACCTAAGTTTGTGGCATCTCTTTCTAAATAACTCAAATGAAGAATCAGTAGTTATATTTTTCCTTTCCTACATTTTCTTACATTTTGGGTCCAAGGGTTTTTTTTTTTTTTTTTTTTTTTTCCCTTAGGCTTACTCTACCCTTAGAAGACATTATTGTAGTTCTTTCAAAATAACAGAAGTGAATGAAAAAGCCCGTCATATGGCACAAGGTTATTTTATAAGTAGTGTTGAGTAATACAAGTCACCCAGGCAAAACTGCTAGTCGTCTGTTAATAATTAGTAGTCTGGAGGGAGTTATCCTCATAATAAACATCTGACCATAGCAAGACTTTCGTTTTAAAAGTTTCATATCTCTTTGACAAAGAAAACATTCTTTTTTTCTACTTATATTTTAAAAAAATATTTGGAGGTCTTTGAGAATTTGTATGCTCATAGGACAAACTTGCTATTAGTAGTATTTAGGAATTAGAGGTAAAACTCTATGTTATTATCTCTGAAGATAATGACAAGCAATTCAAGCAATGAAAAATTCAAATATACATTTGCTTCGCCACATAACTACGTCACTGCTGGTGGATACATGAAAGAGGAACCCATACTATTCTGGCTGATGCCCAGCTTCCCAGGAATTAGTGGGATATAGTGCTGGACATGACGTTACCTTGAGTACATGACAGTCAGCCCCTAACCAGGCTCTGATTCACAAGACTAGGAGGTACTCGCTTTAAGTCCTTGGGTAAGATATGAACTTGTGGTAATTGGGCCATTTATGTCAAATGTCTCCACTATTCTTTTCTTTCCCAGTCTTGTTTGACTTTATTGGTGTTGTTGTTTAAACAAAACAAAACAAAACACAAAAAAAGCAAAATAGGCAGCCAATGCTGCTCATCATCTTGGGAGTATTTAGTGTTTCAGTGTCCGAGTGTGTGTCTGACAGGGCCTAGGAGCAACTACATCAGAAAGGTACTTTTCTGTTTTTTTTTCCTTACAGAGCTGTAGGCAGAATCTGGAGCTGGAGTTGGCTGTCATGTCCAAGTTTGTCTGCTTTTAAAATTTTGTTTGTTTGTTTGAAATTGCAATGGTAAGATGAACTGCAGTATAAGATGGGCTGTTTTGATATAGTGCAGTCATAATACCACTTATTTTTCAAGCTTCACATGAATAATTTGTTTTATTTTTTATTCCATCTAAAGATGTGTTACCTTACTGCATCAGAGATTATACTAAAGATATGACTGTAAGTCCGTCTTTGCTTCATTCCATTTTACTCAAACACAAATAAAATTAAGTACTTTTAGTCTATGCTTTCTTGATAGATTCAAAATGATTAAAAGTGAACAGTAATATATGCATATCTACAAATTTAGTATACCTTACTTATAAAAAAATCACACATACTGATATATGTTTATTTAAGCATTAAGAATATAAACAATGTGGTAAGCTGTAATTAAAATTTAAATAACAGACCAAATTTTAAATTGGTAGGATTTTGTTTTATAGTCTAAATGAATTAAAATTAATAATAGTCAAAAGTAAAATATAATTCTCAGATCCCATTCTTTTATTAAGATCATGAGCAGGCAACTCCAGCCGTACATTCTGATATAGTTATAAAAGATTTATATATGTATAAAAATAAATGTGACAATTTAGCTATATATTCTTATTCTAATTTTTTTAATTGATGCTAACCATAGTGATGGGAGATCCTTGCTTATACAGGAGAACATAATTTATTATCTTATTTTAAAATAAACATTACACTAAAACCCCACATCATTTCAAGAAATGTGGGCAATAGTAGTTATTTTATTATTATACGTAACTTTTAAAAATAACAAGATAGACAAAATGTTTGAGCTACATGCACATGAAAAGTGAAATTTACAAAAAGCTTAAGAAAGGGATCCAAAAGTATATTTAAGCACTTCCTCTGAAACCCTCATAACTAACAAAATATGAAAAAACAATAAATGTGGTTTATAAACCAGAAAGCCTAAAAAATCTCTTCTAATGCTATTTTTATTAAAAATGTTTACTCATTAATATTTTAATTGGAACTTTGCATCATCTCAGGTAGAACATGAGTCTCCTGTCACTATATTTAAACAAGAATGTCCTAAAAGATTGTCTATTTTCTGAAAATAGCCTCTGCTTTCCCAATGGTTGTTGCTTGCTTACTAAAGAAATATGTAAATCTTTGATTTAAGCTTTTATTACACAGTGATTCCATTCTGCCACTGTGACAAAAAGTATCTGATTGCTGATCAAATTCTCTATATTCGTTTCACCTTTCCCCCACTCTCTGTTAGGTTCTGAGCTCATGCCCAAAGCACTGTCCACCAGGATAGTGGGAGGCATTTGGTGGTTTTTCACACTTATCATCATTTCTTCGTATACTGCTAACTTAGCCGCCTTTCTGACAGTGGAACGCATGGAATCCCCTATTGACTCTGCTGATGATTTAGCTAAACAAACCAAGATAGAATATGGAGCAGTAGAGGATGGTGCAACCATGACTTTTTTCAAGGTAAGTTCTGCTGGTTACCTAAAATTTACAAATTAAAATGATAGAGCGCAAACTTCTCTCGATTCACAAATGTAAGAGTGTAACAACGCCATTATTTGTGCACAATTCTTAATAATAGCATATACCTCAAGGGGTGGAGAGGTGTACAACTGAACGTATGCTCATCAAGACCAATCATTTTAATCTCTGAAAATGCTAAGGAGGTTTTGCTTTACAATATTTTGTTCCTGTTTTGAGGAAAATCAGCCCAAGGGTAACATTTTTTCCCAGTAAGCTTTTCTTTTTGAATAAAACAAAATGTATTTTTTGAAACTGTAATAGTAGGATGTTCAGATTCTACAAAACTTTGCTATTCCAGAAGAATAGAATAATTACTCGGAAAAATGTTTCCCATACGTACATTTACTTTTGTTGAAATGAGGCAAGATTTAAGGGCTGAAAATACAGAGACAGTCCTTATTATCTATACGTTCACCAAGGTAATAGTCTGGGAGACACAGAGTTGAAAGGGGCTGTCCCATTGAACTCACAGTGGTTTCCAGAGAGACAGCCCTGTGGAACATTTAAATGAAAGTGTGCTTGTAAAAAGTTTCTGTCATATAGAGTGCCTTGCCCTCGTCTATTTTTTCTCTCTTCTCCTTACTCTTGCCTACTCACTGGGCCAAAGTAGACCAGTTGAGGGATTTCACTTTAGGTAGCTATTACCACTTTATAATTCCTTTTGTATCTTACCAAGTATTTTTACAGTTTTTGTAGGTTGGGCAAATTTTAAAACATTGATATTTTCTTTCTGTGTTCACAGAAACACAACTGGCAGTTCAAATGTACAGTGGAAATAGTATTTTTTTTTAAAAAAATGATTAATTCAAGCTATAAAATAAATTATTTCATGAAGCATTCATCAGGTTTCTATCGAGTGCCAGAAGTTACACGACACATTGAGTATTCTAATTCTCACTATCGAGGAGATTATGGTTTAGTTGGAGACAGAATAATAAACTTAAAACATCACTGAATTTGGTTTTATGTGACTTAAGTCAGTATTTTGTCAAATTATGCAACTTTGTAAAAATTTTTATAAAATTAACTTTAAAATAAATTTCTGGAGGACATCCAATTCCCCCAAAAATAAGATAAATTAGATTTAGTCAAATATTTAAAATTTAATTATTTTCAAAGTGAATTTCTCATATGACTAGATTAAGTATTGGATATGGATTTCACATTTACTTGGAAAATCACTGTTATTTAATCAAATTTATTGAATAATCAAATATAAGCAAAACAATACGTTCAGTATGGTCCTATTTGACTATATTAATTGCGATGGATCAGTTTTTCTTAATTGAATATTGAGAATTTATAAGATTTCCTTTCTTATCAAACGTGTTAATATTTTTGTGTTTTTATAAAGAAATAAGCTGCTAGGCCAGGCACGTTGGCTCGTGCCTGTAATCTCAGCACTCTGGGAGGCCAAGGTGGGTGGATCACTTGATCCCAGGAGGTTGAGACCAGCCTCCATAACATGGCAAAATTCTGTCTCTACAAACAGCCCAAAAATTAGTGTGGTGTGGTGGCATGCACCTGTATTCCCAGCTACTTGGGAGGCTGAGGCTGGAGAATCACTTGAGCCGGGGAGGCAGAGGTTGTAGTGAGCTAAGATGGCGACATAGCACTCCAGCTTGGGCAACTGGAGTGCAATCCTGTCTCAAAAAAAAAAAATAAAATAAAATAAAATAAATAAGTCGCTGAAATTGCTAAACGTGCGTTGTTAGTGTCAACAACTTGAAGGAAGTGAATGCGTGATGCATTTAATTTATTCCAATATCCAAGTGACTTTTGAATTGAATTTGTAAAATATAATAATACAACCTATTGTACCTAACACAAAAATTTGACACCAGAAGTGTTTATTTCTGGTTCATAAACATTTCCGTTTTAATTTTATTTTTTCCAGAAGACTCAAATATTTTGTTTTAAAGTTCAAATATACTAGTAGCAAAGTTCATTTTTGAAAAATCAGTTACCAAACATATGTATTTTTTCTTTATAAAATTTTTATTTTTAAGCTTATTTTCTTAATTCTTTGTCTTTTCATTCTTTCGTTCTTTTTTTAATAGTTCAATTGCTTTCTGCTATGCAATTTTTGCCTACTTTCACTTTTCCTTGCTACTGACTTTTCTTCTTACTCTTTTTTATCTCTTGTTTTTCTCTCAAACACGAGTGCCTCTAGCACCTTGAGAAAGTCGACACGACACAGCTTTCTATTTCCAACAGCACATATATTATTTCTTTAGAATTGTATTTGGAATGTACACAAGTCACAATAAAAACCACACAGTGATAATTACTAAGTTGACAACTACCTTATGTTGCTAATATTATCACATGCTGAGTTCTATTTTCCTACTGAAACTAGGAAAAGAAAATTAGAACTCACAAGACTACATTAAATGTTGATATTTTTGGTATTTTAATGTAGCCTTAAAAGATTCCAATTTCAATTTCATGTTTTCACTTTTTAAGTGTATAGTTATTCCAGCTATGGTAAGAAATTTAAAAAAAATTCTAGCAGTCTGGAATTCAAAAACTACCTACTCATTTTGAAACTGTACAGTGAACCAGAGACTATTTTGTAGTGTATTTACATTTTATACAATTCTTTCATTTTTCATTTAACAGCCACACATACAAACACTCTAGGAAGCATCCCTAAGACATTGACTTCTAAAGGAATCTCTATCTTGTTTTTACTAATTTAGCAAGACCTTGCTGTTAACTAATTGTTCTGGAATACTTCCTTCCAGAAAATTATTATAAAAAACGATACAGTTTTGTTACTACTAGCAAGAAGAGCTGGCTCCAGATATCTGGTGTTAAAGGGTGTAAATCCTCAGCATTGCAAAGACATAGCAGAGTTACATAGCTGTTCTTCAACATCGAATAATTCCATTTCCAAAGACCATGATTGATTTTGTTCACTGAGCTCAAGGTGCTCAAAGCATATTATCTTCAAGAAAAATTCTTCCTTCTTTTTTCTATATCCATTACACACCACACAGACTCTCCTCAGAGATAAATGTAAAGCCATGACTGGAAAAAATAATTCAAAATAGGAGATAGTGGTTCTCACATTATTTTCATGTAAGCAATAGAAAACTGCATGGTATCACCAATATGTTCTTAATCATATTTAGATAGTAAAATGGATGACAGTCCAAGAATTTTATTAAGAAACATTAAAGGAGGAGTCAAAACCTACTTGGAATCTGGGAATTTAGTGTACTAGAACTGAAGTTTCACCCCCGGGCTAACCATTATGCAACATGTTACCAAGCAACAGGAACATTCTTTTCTCCCTGAAGTATAAAGGCTAGGAGAATGGAAGCCTATACATTATAGGATCAAAAATCACTCAGCTATAGCCTGTAGGTGTTATGGCTTTTTTTGAGAATGCTTGTATTTTTGAAGTGAGTCACATGTTTTACAAAATGATACCGAGTGCCCTTGTTTCTATGAAATCCATGACTCAAGTTTTCCAGTTTTTAGAAATTATTTGTCTGGATTTGGCCTACCTGAAATCTCTGACTTTATTATGTGCACTAATACATATGTCCATCTAAAAGATATAGTATCAAAGGAAGAAACATGTGCTCTTTTGTATGGTCATTAAACAAAATGTTGGCACATATTTTAAAAATGTAAGCTCCATCCAAATTGATGTATTCCTAGTCCTGTGTTGCATTCTATACCTTTACATCTCTTTCTCTAATGCCCATTATGCTCTTTTTTCATCCCCATCCACCTCTACCAACCTAATTGGTTATATTCTCTTTATTCCTTAGATTCTAATCTATACATCACTTATTCCAGGGAAACTCTCCTGACCCTTTTCATACCAAAATCTACCCAGTCTGGGTACAGTGCTCCTCTTTTACATTCTTTGAAGTTTTTTTTTTTTAAACTTACATTATTGTTAAATTACTAATCCAAGATATGTTTTCTTGGTTCCTGTATGTTTCCATACTCTACTGCACAGCAGGAGAATAGGGATTGAATGAATCTATATCATTCATTTTTGTATCTCTAGTTCTTGGCACTGAACTTACATGTCTTGAGCTTGTGTTAATTATTAATTGCCACCAGAATATTGCTTAACAAACAGCCAAAAACTTAGTGACATGTAACATAAACCTTTATTTATCTTCCAAGTCAGCTGTCCTTCTCACAGAAACTTGAGAGCCCAAGTTTCTACATTTACAGACTCAGTTCCTTCTACACCAGGGTGACAGTGCTTTTACCAGTACAATTTCTTCTTAACCTTTAAATGTGTCTAACTGAATCTACTTATACTGTAAAAGCCACACACGCCGTTCTTTTAAAGGCATGCCTCTCTTCAGACTGAATCGTTGCTACTTTGGGCTAGAGGATCTTTATCCAAATGAGAAAATCTACAAGGTATTGCCTTGACTTTTTTAGAGGTTCTAAGAAAGCATCTAAGGCATCACGCTTAATTTGATTCTTAATTAAGCCTTGTGGCCACGTTGAGAAAATTTTAAGAACTTTCGCTGGCAGAAGATTAGAAATACGTTTGTTATCCAACCATGCAAGTTTTATCCCCTCTACATCACCTCTAAATTCAGCTTGCAAAGTGGTCAGTACTTTTAAATTTTCTTTTCCTCTCCTCCTCTTCCTCCTCTTTTTCCTTCTCCATCTCCTTGCTGTTGTACTGATTACTCGTCTATCTCTTTCTTGTCCTACCTTACATGTAGCTAAAACTAGCCAGCTGATACTTTGAACATTTTGTCATTTTGTTTGGCTATCTTTTGGCTAAATCCAAAAGATTATTAGTTCATTTTCTATCTTTCAAGTCACTACAACTACAACGTGTAATTAAAAATAATATTTTCCCCTGTATTCATGGATTCCTATTTTCCCAGCCTCCCCAAATGATGATTTGATTATTATCTGCTATGTGTGCCCTAAATCAATGCCACAGCTTTTCTTTATTGCAGCACCTTGTTACTTTTGTCAAATTCCACACAGTTATCCATTGGCACAATGAATTTTACATTTACTGATGGAAAACATATGACAGAGGCTTTCAGGTATAACGTGATTATGTGCAAAATTTTATTATTCTACAGGGCAGTCAAAGGTTTATTCAAAACATAGAGCCCTCTATAGCTTTCCTATTTTAATTATCTGTTAAAAGTCATTGATTTTGAAGTGTAGGTAATGAAGTTAGGAATGAAAAGCAAGTGGGTTATTCCATCCTAGGTAGAACGTTTTAATTTTTGGTACTGAGCAAAAGAGGATTTTTCTTGGGAGATTTTTCTCTTTCTTTCTTGTTTTCTCTGTCTCTCTCTCCCTTTCTTTTTTTTTCCTTTAACTTTTACAGCCTTCCTCTGCAAAGTACATTCTAAATTCCAGCTCATTTATCTTCAGACAACTTCTAAGGAAGGTAGGAAGCAATTATCATTATGCTCATTTAACAGATGAGGAAACTGGGCCACAAAGAGGTTAAGTGACTTATTAATTATAACGGCTATAACCAAGGAATGCATAGTATCACAATAAAGGTAATAACCAAAGATATCGTCACATAAACCATCGTTACTCAAAAGAGCTAAGTGTATTGATCATTTTGGCTCACCCACATGACCTCAACTGCTTGATTATATTAAGTTTCTAAAACATTTGCCTTACAGCATTGGGGCAGATACAGCTATAACATGTTCTTTATAGTCTGCCACTTATTCTGATCTTACCAGCTCAATAGTCTTCTAAAATTAAGTTATGCTGGGGTGATTGTATATGATAGTATATGGTGGGGTGATAGTATATGTTTTGAAGTCTGAATTGCTAGTGTGGCATGCCTGCAATAATTTTTTTGAGAGCTTGAGTGATTTTGCTTTCAGTATACTACAAGAATGTAAGTAACTTTTCCATTGAGAGATAAAATGTAAAAAGTTGGTAGTTTACTGCAAGTCCTTATTAGATCTAAAAACATATACTATTCATTAGAGATTGCTCCTAATTTTGTAAATATAGGCAAAACAGAATTGTTGTCCGTTTTTATTTAGAGCAATGGTGGTAATATAAGTATAATATATTTACTGTGAAGAGATTTACTCATTAGCAGAGTAAATTCTCAAAATTGCAACGATAGTGTGCTTTTCACATTGAAAAATGTCTTCTGAAATGAATGTTTATTTTCCTCTTGCTATATTGGTGGTAAAATATTTTGAAAGTTCCACTTTGCATATGCAGAAAATTAACCTAAAAATAATATTTAAAGATGAGAAATATTATCTAGAACTTTTTTGAATTTTAGATATGTTTGGTTTTAGAGCTTATTCTTTAAATGTTTTTCATATTTTATATAGCAAGATTTCTAGTTAAGTGTAGTTGTCTGTAGGAAAAGGTTTAATAATTATTTGTCAGCACATGGTTAGAAATCAGGTTATGTCTTTTAGTTTGCACATGTTTACTATTACGCGGATTCTAATAATTTTCCACCACTATCCAGAAGGAATGCTTTTACAATATGACAATTAGAAATTCTTTATGGTACTTCAGTAAGTATAGGGAGGATGTGTAAATAGCTACTCACTTGAGTTGGCTTGTTTATTTAGGTGCTATTAACTAGCCACATAGCTTTTTCTCATGTCATTTTTATTTATTTTGAGTTGAATAGGGAGTCTTTTCCCTTTTGAGCACTTGTGTTTCTCAGAGATGTATTTTATTTTGTATGTCTAAGTGAAAATTGAGAAAATACATGTTCTCAGGGACCTGAGGAATGAACATTCATCTTTTCTTTGTAAACCTTTATCGTAGGTTTTTCTATCATGGGGATTGAAAGCATAAAGGTCCATATTTGAGACTTGGGAGAATTGTACATGAGACTTTGTGTTTACCTAATGGAGACTGAATTAAGAAGAGATGACTTTTAAGTGATATTAAGGACATGGTATTAATTGGCCTACTCTATAGATTTATATTGAATTGGGTTCTGAGCAAGAGCTTTGAGATTTGTGTTCATGTAGTTTTCTTGCCTGAGCTTATTTTACTACCCTATAATATTTAGTGAACTACTTCTGCTCCTTTCCTTGTTGTGAAAAAAAGCGCTATTTTAACTGGCAAAAGTAAATTAGTACACAATTCTAATTTACATATTGCTTTGTGTTACTTGAGAACCCCTCAATATTCCTTTGCAGATCTAAACTAAAACAAAATGTTCCTCAAACATGACATACTGTTCTGACTTGGAAGATGAAATACCTAATATACTTAGGCTTCTAAGCCAAAAACTATTCTTGCCAACTTGCTCACAAATTACTGATTAGGAAATAGCTATGGCTGTTTAGGACACATAGAAACTTTATTTTTAATTTTTTGTTTGTCTCACATATTGAAGTTTATAGATAATCTTTTTTTTTTCTTTGTGCTTTAATGAGTTAAACAAAACATAAAAGCTTGATGTGGTTGATCACCAATGTATCTGGGCAGTAAGGTTAGGTTAATGGTTAATATTGTTAATGAAATTTTTGTTTGTTCATGTTGCTGTGTTCTTCATTGTCCATCAGACATTTTTTTCTAGAAGTCTGGAAGAAATATCGCAGTAAAGATTTTTATAGTCATATAATTTTCCTAACGCTCCCAAATTATTTTTCCTTTATTAATGGTGTTGAAATATCGAATGTGGGAAATTCACTAATGTTAACATTAGATTACGTGGTAGTATTTTGTTCAATAAAATAAGGTTGGTATTTTAAAGTGTCATTATATTTTTATTAGTGTCTAATACAGTTTTAATATAAATTGGTCATGTTTGATATAAATATTTAAAACATGACTATTTATTATGTCTTTGATTTATTTGTGTAGTAAGGAAGTTATTTTTACTCCCAGAGGTTGTCTCCCTCCCCCTTTCCTCATCTAACACACAATTTATTGTACGTGAGGCCTGATCCTATGTTTATTACAGGGATTTGCATAAGGACTACAGGAAACCAACACCATTTTACTATGTTCCCATTGCAAGAAATAAAATGGTGCCTTTGAGTAAAGCTGCTTCATCAGACACTAGTTCAGCATGCCAAGTTAAAGCCATCAATGGTGAAACAGCAGATGTGAAGGCTAGTTGGCATGAAAGCATATGAGTCAAAGACTTTCCTATGGGAAAGAAAGTGCTTCATTACACTTTATCTATAGTGAGAACATTGGGTTTATCAAGCTGTCTGAAAATTAGAATATGATGAGTTTTATTACTCTTGCTCTGCCAGAGTGAATTCAATGGTTAAAAAGAAAGCAATAACACCATTTTAGGAATTATAAGAAGTGATTAGGTTTTTAGCGTATTTAAACTTGGAAGGAGCAGCAACTTTTATCTTCGAAAGTAGCCTCTCTAAAATATCTAAGGGACAGAAGTTTAATCCTTTTCTAATTGCTACATTTGCAATATGTATTAACGCAGCTTTGGGCGCTTTAACTGAATAAAGAAGTTGTATGCTTGACTGAAGTGTAAAATCTGAGAAACAATGTTTTAATTGCCTTGGAAAACATGTGCATGAGGCCCTGCCACTCCAGCATACACTAGTATGCTATGGTTCTCTCCCTCCCTTGTCCTCCCTCCTTTACTCTGTGCAAGGACCATTCCTGCTGTTTGTCAAGTCAGGTTGGCAGCTCAAACACTGTGTCCCAACTCATCAGTCTTAGGAGAGAGGGCCCCACAGGGAGTGAGAAAACTCAAAAGTCAGTTAATACAGTGATGTTGAGCTAACATGTCAAGTGCTGGATAATGGATAATAGTTGTCACTGCAAGAGTTCATAGCCACTGGTTAGGCAACATTCTGAAGGAAATTCAAGAAGGACATATTTTGGATGCAAAAAATAGGCTGAGATAAATATTATCCAAAAATACCTTGACATTCTAAAAATTTTAGTGCTTTATATCTTACATAAAAAAACTAAAATGACAAATTCCATTTCTTCTATATAAATTGCTGAATAGAAGCATCATTTGGTATTTTTAAAACAAACATACAAACAAAAAAACCCAGACTCTACTTTGTTAATGTTTTGAGGAAATTATACTTATTGACATTGTGGCTATGAAATATCTATTGATCGTTTTGGGGGTGGGGGGTGTTGCTGCTCTGACTTTTGAGTATCAGCAAAGACATATTGTTCTCATTTCTTAGATAGCCCATTAATTACAAGGTGAATATCCTGAAATTTGTACTTAATTTAAAATATCCTTGGCAGTTTAATGGTCTTGATTTTCCACATTATTATGCTGTCTTTTCAGGGAGAAGCTATTCTTTTGTTGCAAAGGCATTTTAGACTAATTAGCATCTTTGGTCAGCTGAATTTTCATTTGTTCATTTGTTTTCCTGTCTCTTTCCAAAAGCCACATTATTCTAAAAACAGTAATATCACTTTGTTGTTTGTTATTAAGAGCTGATTGAAGATACCACATACTAGTTAAGTTTTTTTTTTCTTTCTTTATGAAGCAAAAGGAGATTTACTATTATTTGCTGCTACTGCCATCTTCAATATTAGACTCTTATTTAAAGATAATACTGTACTATTTTTCCCCTTGGGAGCAAGCAAGATGTCAAGTGATGCACCCTTCTGATGCTCAATAATCTTACCACTTTATCATGCATATTTGCAAGGATGAAGCACAGTTTATAAATCATCTCTGTTTATTTTACATTCTTCCCCTTAACTCCAGATAGATCAGGAAAAGGACAAAATAAATTTTGGTGCTTGTTCATAAGTGTTGATAACTGCAAACTGAATATAATAAATTCCTCAAAAATACTGCTTTAAGAAATTAAACTTGGTCAAACATTGATGGTAAATGTCTTATTCTTAAAGAGATCTTATTCTGAAACAACTTGAATCTTTGTTTTTATGCTGTGATATTAGTGGCTGTGGCAGTGCCTAGAATTGTTTAATTGCCTAATGCACAAAGGTGAGCACTTTGATTGATGTGTATTCAGAGAAGTACTTTAATAATTTTATAAATAAAGAACTCTCCAGATGACTGAATGTGTCTGTGTGTGTATGTACATGAAGAGTGTGTTCTGTAAGAATAAGGTATGCTTTCTTAATTTGAGTTAAATTATGGATGGTTATATAATTCATTTTTCTATACCCAGTTTCCATCTTAAATCTATTTAGAGAAAGAATAGTTCAGGGTTGGCGATAAAATGTACTTTTACATTTCCTGATAGTATTTGAATTATGCTTCTGATTGTCATTAGCCTATTGTATACACCATAGCACAAGTGAGTTCAGTGAAAAGATTTGATTATCTCTAAAGGTAGGTGTTTCATTTATTAAGTATTGTAATTACAGCTAATTAGAAGCTACACATTATATTAGTTTGCTTTGTAGGTCCCTTGACTGTTTTCAGAACACTATGAGCTTATGGTTCATTTCAATTTATTACAAAAACAATTTAATAAAAGCCAAAGAATTGGGAAACAGCATTACTAATGGATATAATTTATTGTTGAGTCAATATAATAGTTTAACATAATTATTAAAGGCATAGACCAAGTTGTGGCGTGAAATCCTACATTCCTCAATCAATACAGATTTATTTAATTTCTCTGGGTTTCTGCTTTTTTGAATTTATCTCCCATAGATAAATCGAGAGTATATGTCTTATATATTGTTCGTATTACCACTGAACATGTACTAAATTCCCAATATATATTTGCTATTATCCTTATTGTGAGGAGCTTAAATGTTGAATTGTTAAATTTCGGTAGCAGATGAAACCATTTCCCCCAATATGAATACCGTACTTTTGCAAATACAGGTTACCTATGGTTAATGCTACAATCTGACACTCAGTTGCATTCTCATTTCATTAATAATTTGGTCCTGATTTTAGATTATTAATAAACAAATATTCTGGATTACTCTCTAATCTCACTGAAAAGATAAAGTACATCAGGAATCTGTTTCCATGTACACATTACAGATAGTCAATCTTTTAAAACGGATTTTATTATTTTAGTGCAGTTCCATGGTCACAGCAAAATCAACATCGTGGGACTTTAAATATATCAATTCACATTCTTCAAGAGTTTTTGTCAGCCTTCTCTTTCAAAACCAGAAAATAAAAACCCAGCCTGACTCCAACAAATAGATATAACTAAACTGAGGGACTTAGGATTCCATATTGTCAGAATGAAAAGTGGTGACAACCCAAGATGGTTATGACTGAGTGAAATGAATTTTATTAAACACGACCTTTTTTATGATCTACCTGGAAAATTTTAACAATTAGGGAGGTGTTTCAGAAAGGATGCCCCCAATTTGGTGGTGATAGTTATGATGAGAGTTGTGTTGAAGGAAGTGTTGATTGTGACAGAAGCCCCCTTGGAAATTTAGAAACAAATGTATGTTTGTGAGAAAAAAAATAATTAACTTTCAGATAAACAGCAAAAGTTCTTCACAAGAAGCCAAATATACTAGTATTAGCAAAAGGATAACACTTCCAAATTTAGAAATATGTCTGCCTTTGAAGCTGGCTGAGAACTAATTTTTGTGCAGGCAGGATTCTTGAGATCACTGTTTGTGGCTTTTGTTTTAATGAAGCAGCTTATGAGTAGCATCAAGTCTTCCAGGCTTTACTTTCAGGACTGCTGTTTCCCTGGGGGCCTAACAATTGCAAGTGGCCCTTTCATTGATTTTTATTACCAATGCCAGAGTGTACATAATCATTTTAGTCAAACTCTTACAGCTGAAACAAGTAAATCTATTGCATTTTGAAAATAAAAATAGTGGCTAACCTGTTCCCATCTTTATTTATTATTATTATTTTTTCTGCATTGTTAGTAACCATGTAATAGCTGTCACGTCTACCTTTCTCACTCATCTTTATTCTGGGTGATGTTTCTTTCCTAATCTCAGGCCTAATGTGTTGCCCCTGCTGTGTCCTGGAAATGAGGTTGCAGTGATTTACTTTTACTAGCCATTAGAGAAACACTTTAGTATTTTGTCTTATTTCCCTTCTTTGAATTCCACAAACTTCGAAAGTATCAAAAGTAGTAGTGTACTCTAAAACTCTTCCAAGAAATTTTACTATGTAAGGCTAAGGAATAAACTAGATTTTTATTTTCTTATGGCTTCTAATAAAACATGTGTGGTTATAGAGCACATGTAATACATCTAGTGCACTGAGGAGTAAAATATGAAATTTCAATTATTTAATTTTTATTAAATTGAAATTTTAAAACCAAAGCAGTGCAAGACATTTTTGCAATAAACTTAAACATATATTTCATTTTAACCTTTGCCTCATATAAGATGTTGTATTATAGAGCATGTGATTTGTGCATGAGTTGTTTCCAACACATCAGTGATGTACTCAGTGGCAATGATTTGATTCAGTTTAAATGATTTCTTCTATGTACTACTGTAACATTGTAATGTGTTTATTTGAATATTTTATGTAGGTGAAATAAATTACAATTATAACTATCTAAACCATATGATTATTAAATTGAAATGCATACTATTATTTTAATCAAAATATAATTAAATTATTTTTCTAGTTTAAAAATACATATGGGCAAATTTCTAATTTAAAATGAAGTTACACTATTAAGAAGAATTAAATGAAAATGTAGAAACTGGTACTACAACTGGAAGAGTAAAGAATAAGAGAGTCTGGATAAGGATATGTTAACTGGTTTCACAATGAATGAACATTGCAATTTGCTGCAACAAAGCAAAATGGAAAAGTTGTTTGTCACATATATATTTTTAAGATATTAAACTGGTCATTATCAACATACATTCTCAGAAAATACAAACTGAATTTGATATGCAATTTTTTTTTTCTTAATAGTAAAAAAAAGAAACAAGGAAGTTAACCAAAGTTAGAGTCAAATGTTCAATACATTTAAAAATATGTTTTGACAGAGTCTGAAGTTACACTTTTGGACTGTTATACAATGGCTTGGATTTTTAAACAAAGAGACCATTTTTGGATGGAAAGATGGTAACATATGTTATTTCAATTATGATTAGTTTGTTACAAAGTTGTAAAAATGAGATTAAAAGAAATATTGTAAATAAGCAAAAGATCTTTAATTAATCAACTAAAAAATTGCCCATAGTTTACAATAGCTTTCTAACAATAGGAAAAATCAGTTGATCCTAATTTTTAAAAATGGCAAACCAGTGCCTTTTTTAAGATTAGAATGAAGTATACAATATGAGAAACTGTCCAATTAATACTTTGGGTACATTTTTTCCTCAAATGACTCCCAGATTTAGGAGAAAAATTTCAATTTTTGAAATAAATAAAGAACTAGTGGCATAGGTTTTTTTTGTATCTCTTACAGCTATTAAATATTAATTTCAGCTAGAAATAGAAAATTTAGTTTATTACAAGATGGTCACGATGATGGATGCTCTAGCTATGTTAGGTTAAAAAAAAACACAGATTTATTATAATTTTAAAACAAAAGACTGATGTTTTTCCTTGATGTGATTTGGCTCTGTTTCCCCACACAAATCTCATGTCAAATTGTAATCCCCATGTGTTGAAAGAGCGGCCTGATGGGAGATGACTGAATCATGGGGGCATTTTCTAATCGTTTAGCATCATCTCCATTTTCAAGTAGTTCTTTATAGCACTGTGAAACAGACTAATATAGAAATTGGTACCAGGAGAGTAGGGGACTGCTCTAAAGATACCTGAACATGTGGAAGCAACTTTGGAACTAGGTAACGGGAAGAGATTTGAACAATTCTGAGGGCTCAGAAGAAGACAGGAATATGTGGGAAAGTTAGGAACTTCCTAGAGACTTGTTGAATGGTTTTGACCAAAATGCTGATAGTGATATGGACAGTGAAGTCCAGGCTGAGGTCGTCTGAGACGGAGATGATGAACTTATTGGGAACTGGAGTACAGGTCACTCTTGTAATGCTTTAGAAAAGAGACTGGTGGCATTGTGCTCTTGCTCTAGGGATCTGTGGAACTTTGAGCTTGATAGAGATGATTTAGGATATTTGGTGGAAGAAATTTCAAAGCAGCAAAGTATTCATGATGTGGCCTGGCTTCTACTAACAGCATACAGTCATACATGTTCACAAAGAGATGGTCTGAAATTAGAACTTATGTTTGAAAGGGAAGCAAAGCATAAAAGTTTGGATAATTTTTAGCTTGAACATGTGGTAGAAAAGAAAAATTCATTTTCTGAGGAGGAATTTAAGCAACTGGCTGCAGAAATTTGCATAAATGAAGAAGAGTAGAATGTTAATAGCCAAGATAATAAGGAAAATGTCTCCAAGGCATTTCAGAGATCTTTGTAGCAGCTCCTCCCTTCGCAGGCCTAGAGGCCTAGGAGGGGAAAAAAATGGATTCATGGGCCAGGTCCAGAGCTCTGCAGCTCTGTGCAGCCTCAGGACATGGCACCCTGAGTAGCAGCCACTCCAGCTCCAGCCATGGCTCTAAGGATCCAAGGTACAGCTCAGGCCATTGTTTCAGAGAGTGCAAGCCCCAAACCTTGGCAGCTTCCATGTGGTGTTGGGCCTGTGGGTGCACAGAAGGCAAGAATGAGGTTTGGAATCTTCACCTAGATTTTAGAGGACGTATGGAAACACCTGGCTGTCCAGGCAGAAATTTGCTGCAGGGGTGAAGCCCTCATGGAAAACCTGCAGTAGGTGTGGAGGGGAAATGTGGGGTTGGAGCCCCCACACAGAGTCTCCACTGGGGCACTGCCTAATGGAAATGTGAGAGAAGGGCCACTGTCCTCCAGACTCTAGAATAGCAGATCCACCAACAGTTTGTATCTTGCACCTGGAAAAGCCACAGACACTCAACACTAGCCCGTGAAAGCAGCTGCAGAGGCTGTACCCTAAAGAGCCACAGAAGCAAAGCTGCCCAGGCCTTGGGAGCCCACCTCTTGCATCAGCATACCCTGTATGTGAGACATGGAGTCAAAGAAGGTTATTTTGGAACTTTAAGATTTAATGACTGCCCTACTGGATTTTGGAATTCCATGGGGCCTGTAGCCCCTTAGTCTTGACCAGTTTTTCCCTGTTGCAATGGGAGCATTTACCCAATGCCTAGATCTTCACTGTATCTTGGAAGTAACTAACTTGTTTTTGATTTTACAGGCTCATAGGCAAAAGATACTTATCTTGTCTCAGATGAAACTTGGATTGGACTTTTGGGTTAATGCTGGACACTGTTGGAAAAGCATGATTGCGTTTTGAAATGTGAGAAGGACATGCAATTTGGGAGGGGAAAGGGTGGAATGATTGGTTTGGCTCTGTGTCCCTACCCAAATCTCATGTAGAGTTGTAATTCCCATGTTTTGAAGGAGGGGCCTGGCAGGAGGTGATTGGCTCATGAGGGCGGTTTTTAATGGTTTAGCACCGTCCTCCCAATGCTGTCTCATAAGTGAGTTCTCATGAGATCTGATAATTTTAAAGTGTGTGGCACCTACCCCTTCTCTCTCTCCTGCTACCATGTAAGGCATGTCTTGCTTCCCCTTCACCTTCCATCATGATCATATGTTTCCTGAGCTCTCCCTAGCCATGTAGAACTTTGACTCAATTAAACCTCTTTTCTTTACAAATTACTCATTTTTAGGTAGTTCTTTATAGAAGTGTGAAAATGAACTAATAAATCCTTTTAGCTTTACTATATGACACTGAAATTATTTGTGTTCAGTTTTCTGAAGCAGACTCTGTGACAAGTGTCATAGACACAGTTGTTAATATTATTTAGTGTATATGTGTAAGTGCTATGACTCATTGCCAGTTTGTAGAACTATTGAAAGAAATAGAAGATAACAAATGTTAATGGTTTTGTAATTTTTTGCCAAATTGCTCTTTGGTTGAGTCAAAGAATACAAAGATTTACTGTATTGTCTATTCCTACTCAAAGATGCATGAAATTAAATTATTTCTAGATATTCAATAATCAAAGATAAAAATAATAGTTTGTTTTATGTTTTTTGTGCTAATATCACACTGAACAAAAGCAAACTAAATTGAATTTCAAAAGAAAAAAATATTTTTTATCTAGAAAGCTGTAATAATTCATTATAATAGGAAATTATCATAATAAAGGTCAATAAAAGTGATTTTTCACATTTTTTTAAAGAGTCAATATACAGATTTTAGTTGCTGTCAGCAGTATTATAGCAAACTTGTAGTCTCAAAAACTACATGTAAAATTTAAAAACTTTGTTTTGAGATTGATAAATTTAGAGATTTTCAGTTTATACAATTTTCCTTTGACTTCAGTGTTAATAATTCTTAGTTGATGTAAGCATTAGTAAATTACTTCACTTGGAAAGATAAACAGACATAACTTTTGAACAAGAATATGTGCTTTGAAGCCAAATTAATTCTTAAAAAGTTAAGAAAGATGAACAAGTTTTACCAACATGTTGTGTATATTACAGGAAAATTGCTTTTAGTACTTAGTTCAATTATTGGAAATTTGTTTGAAACAACTTGGGTATATGGAACTAGTATTTTAACTGATTTTTTTTTAGCTTTTTAGGTTTATGCAATCAATACAACTTAAGCGTCTTAAATGAAAATTTAGTGTCTGAATTGAGATATGTTTTCAGTGTAAAATTTACGTTGGATTTCAAAACTAAAATAATGTGAAACATCTCTCTAATAATTTTTATATTGAGAATGTCTCATAGTCACTTAAAATCCAGTAAATTCAAAATGGAGTCTTTATTTGTTCCCAGTTTCATCATTCCATGATTATTCTCCATTCTAACAGAGGGCAATGCCATCAATGCTGTTGCTCACCTCTCATATCTAACCCATGAGCATGTACTTTTGGTTGTACCTTCAAAATACATTGCATCTAAAAGCTATTCACAGCTCTCCATATCTATCGCCAACACCTTAATCTAAGTAATCAGTAAGCCATTTAGTAAGCTCAACACCTTAATTTAATCAGTAAGCCATTTAGTAAGCTTATAAGTTTACTACTATTTTGTCTGCATCATCAGTTGTTCCATTTCAATCACTTTCCTAAGAGTATTTAAAGGGATCACAAACAAACAAATAAATCAACATAACTCCTCTGTAAAGTGAGTTTTCTCTTTACTTTTTACTTATAACACATGTTCCTTCCATGATAACATTCTAAATTCATTGTTTTCATTTATGTTATTCTTCTTGTGACTAGAATGTGAATTTCATGAGGTCAAAGACTTAGTAACTAGAGCATTCTGGTAGATAATAGATTCTCTATCTACTGTTTTTTTTTTTTTTTCATTTTTATGAGATAGCAAATTAATCCTTGTAAGTAAATTAATCAATATAAGATTATTAATCATAATCTTTAATCATGTTTATGATATAGTAAATTAATCAATATAAGTAAAATAAGCCAGGATAAACCATTTTACATACCCTAATTGTTACAAAATATAACATATACACAGAATAATTTTCCAAAACATAATTTGTATAACATTAGGTGTTTTGAGATTAGTAAAGTTAGTATGTTAAGAAAAATTTAGAAAGTGAAGAAAATGGAAATAAGACAATAATTATTAATGAGAACACAAACATGCACACATATCTTCTGATATATATAATATGTATGTGTGTGCATACACACACATACCTATATCTGTAATGAAATTGGGGCAATGCTATAAACATAACTTCAGAAGATTTTCTAAGCCTGGGCAACAACCCCCATCTTTACAAAAAATAAAAACATTAGCCAGGGTGTGGTGGCACATGACTGTAGTTCCAACTACACAGGAGGCTGAGGTGGGAGGATCATTTAAGCCTGGGAGGTTAAGGTTGCAGTGAGTCGTATTCACCTCATTGCACTTAGTCTTGGATTGCTGTTGAAAAAAAAAATAAGAAAAGAAACATTTTGATTTTTAATTAGCTATTATGAATAATGCTTATTTGTAAATACGTAACAAACTATCTAATCATTGAATTAAAGGAATATGACAGTGTCTTCATCGAAGCCATGACTGCACCAGAACAAGTTAACACAGGCAAGGCGATTATTGTAGTAAAGAGGAGATGCCAGGATTCAGTCTGAACTCAATTCTACTGCTCAAAGGACTGGAGGGTGTTTAAAAGTTGGAGAGGGGGATGGAGGCAGAGTGGTATTGTAAACCATTTATTTTTGCTAGTTGGTCCTACCCAATGGAAAACAAACTTTTTGATATCTTCATGACAGGAGATAGTTCTACAACTTGGAGCAAGGTACCCACTGAAGTTAAATTTCTACCCTCCCACAGAGAATGTTACACAGGGACACTAGCTTCCTAGATGATTACAGTTCAAAAAGGGCTCCTAGGACCTTGAGCAAAACGTTGCTACCTTGTAATATTAGCAAGAAACTTTTAAAAAGATTTACATTCCAAAAGAGTCAAAGAAATAATTTACGATTATAATTTTTCAAAGGTGTGCTCTGAGAAAAGAGAGGTCAGGGGCTTAGAGTCCAGAAGAAGCATGCCTAAAGTTTAATCAAGCTGAAATGAATGAAATTGTCTTGATCACTTGATACAACACCCTTTAGAGACATTGAAGTAATTTTTAATACTAACAATATGTAACTGGGTGATTCTTCTTCCTATTCTCATTTTTAGTGTGAATTATAGAGTATTGAGAATTTTTAATGAGGGAAATATTATCATTATTTTATTTTGAATTGTTTTGATCATAACAGGAATTAAACATTTTAAAATGTTTATAACAAAGAAACTTTAATCTTACAGACTTAAATGTTGGAATATCATTATTTTAATTTGGTTTAAAAAATTGTATGCAGTCTGCATTCCACTAAGTTTCTTAACCTATAAAACAAGTATTTTTTAAGGAGCATTATAAGTACAGAGATTCATGCTAATGGCATTCAGCTCATTAATAATTATGTTGTAGTAAAGCTGAGAAAATGTGATATAAGAGAAACACTTGCTTATTTAAATATGTCAGTTTTATTTCCTTCTGTTTGCTTTGTTAAAACATGCATATAATTTTGGATAAAAATGTGTTGGATACTGAAAGCCTGCCTCTTATTATAACAAAGGCATTAATTAGACATGAGAGGTCCGCACCATGATCCCAAATGTTATATTTCAATACACATGTTCAGAAAGTAATCTTTCAGACATTAGTAGGTGTGTTAAATGACTATAATCCTGAGCACCTACATCGACACTTTATCCTTTGATATTTGTCAGACATGCTTAACCCCAACTAGGAGAATGTTGTTTTTATTAATAATTATTTCAGGTAATACCTGATTAGGTCTAATGAGTGCTTGGCAGTCTTCATATTGGAATGAAGTCTGTGTGAACGTTTACCAAAATGTAGAAACCTTGGAATATTTGACAAATGTTTATTTTTAAAAAATGGCCTCTAATCTCAGTTTGAATTTACACTTATTTTATTTTTCAGTTTATTTGTTTGGAAAATATTCCTATTACCTTTAAATTGACTTTTTAGAGAAGTTTTACAAATACATTATTTTTAAATACAAGAACAAACAGGAAAACGGAGTTAAGTTTTATATGGCAGTGGTGATAGAATGGTTGGGTAGGAGCATGAATACTGAGTAATTATATTTATTATGTCCTTATTCCTGTGTCTTCAAAACAGAAAATGATTTGAAGAATCTTAGAACTGTCTTTTTTTTTTTAAAGTCTCTTCCGTTTACCCAGTAAGTGACATAAGCCACAAGTTACTATTTTTTACATCTAAATCAGAGCCAGTGTTAACCATCAGTGCCATTTTAACGTGTGATCAGTTCCTTAACTAATATATATATATATACACACATATATAGTTATAGTTATATATAGTTATACATAATATAGTTATATATAAATATATTTATAGTTATATATAATATAGTTTTATATAGTTATATATATACACATACACACATATATATGATACAATATATATGCAAGCAGATTTTTCAGACCCAGAATAAAATGTTAAAAGGTTTTTTTATTGTTTTAATTAAATAGAGACAGGGTCCCACTACGTTGCCCAGACTAGTCCTGAACTCTTAGGCTAAAGTGATCCTGCTGCCTCAGCCTCCCAAAGCGTTGGGATTACAGGGATGAGCCACTGTGCCTGGCCTAAAAAGGGTTTTAAAGCAAAACAAGAAAACAATCAAATTTCATTTATTTATTAAAGAAAGTAAATAAACAGATATCAAATTGCCAATATGAGGCAAACTCAGGGCAAATTTAATTTGCACCTGGGCACATTTACAGAATTTTGACATGGCAGTTACTTGACTATTCATCAAATGTGTAATTTCCTCCAGTCGTAGCACACCCACTGTTTAAATTTGTGTTCTGAAAATATAAACCCACCACTTAAAATAATTGCTTATTTTATTAATTCAAATATACACACCCATTGATTCATAAATTATCAACAGTTTAACTTTATGATAAAAATAATGTATATGTTCTATCTTGTCTCATCATTTCTTCTGGCTATCCATGATGGAAAGGGAGAATAAGAGAGCTTTTGTTGTTGTTGTTGTGTTTTTGCGATTTTTTTTTTTTGTGGGTACCAACACTTTTCTTTTGCCTCCATAGGATTTTTAAATGCAGCCTTATAACCATGTTAAATGCCTAGATTTGATTATAATAGAAATTTATCAAATTCTTTTAATTTACACACTCAGGTTTCTTGTCAGGTCTAGGAACTCCTCTTTGATTATCTTTTTTTTGTTATCCTTTTAAGTTCTGGAATACATGTGCAGAATGTGCATGTTTGTTACATAGATATACACAGTGGTGTGCTGCACCCATCCAACCGTCATCTACATTAAGTATTTCTCCTAATGCTATCCTTCCCCTAGTCCCCCATCCCCAACCGGCCCCAGTGTGTGATGTTCCCTGCCCTGTGTCCATGCGTTCTCATTGTTCAACTCCCACTTATAAGTGAGAATGTGTGGTGTTTGGTTTTCTGTTCCTGTGTTTGCTGAGAATGATGCTTTCTATCTTCATCCATGTCCCTGCAAAGGACATAAACTCATCCTTTTTTATGGCTGCATAGTATTTCATGGTGTATATGTGCCACATTTTCTTTATCCAGTCTATCATTGATGGGCATTTGGGTTGGTTCCAAGTCTTTGCTATTGTGAATAGTGCTGCAATAAACATGAGTGTACATGTGTCTTTATAAGTGTAGAATTATTTATAATCCTTTGGGTATATACCTAGTAATGGGATTGCTGGGCCAAATGGTATTTCTGGTTCTAGATGCTTGAGGAATCACCACACTGTCTTCATCTTTTTGAAAATATTATATGTCTCAATCATGCTGATTTCATGTTCAGGAACAGAACAGAAATGAGAAAATGAGAAATGAGTGAGATCTGACATTGGTTTTATGACCTCTATTTATTAAATAACTTTCTCATTTTTTATTTCTCATTTTAATCTCCTGATTTTAAGAAAATCAGCCTGTTTTGTAAGTTTTTTCTACCTGTTTCAAAAAGTCTTATAGGCTTGTATCACATTGGGACTACAAAATGTGTTTCCATTTTGTTGTTGTTGCTGGTAATAAATCATTTTCTAAAATCTCTTCTCCCTCTAAGTTATCAAGATAATACTCCTTTTCTTGTTTTTTGGACCAATTTTTATAGCTTTATGTTTATCTCAATCTTTGGTGAGAGGAATTTGATTGGGATTTGTGGTTGACCAGAGGTCACTTGAATAAACCTCTCTCTCTACTAAAACTTGAAAGCAGGCCTACATGCAAACTTTGTAGTCCAGTTATCAATCTCAGGATCCAAAATTGTTGTTTTGTGTTTTAACATGGCTCTTTGGGCCTGAGATAGAATGGACTCTTACCCTCAGGACCTTAAATCTGATACTCTGAATGATGAAGCAGCCCCCTTTTTAGGGCTTCTCTTATCTTCCCCACATTTTCATGACAAATGAAGACTATTCCCACCTGCCTCTGGAATAGGACAGTCTTCCCTGCCCACTACTTGCTTAGTTATTTCCTATCAGTTGTAGCCTCTATTTTTTTGTTTTTCATTTTTTTCTTTATGTTTTTTTATTTTGTCTTTATTTTTTGTAGCCTCTAAATTAGCACAGAATACAAGTACTAACAGTAGTGGGAGCCAGGAAACACATTCCACTGGATTCAAAATTAATATCTACAAAGGTGAAGGATAACTGCTAAGTGTACTGGATCAGGGAGAACTTATAGGTGGCATAGTGTAGACAAAGAAACAATGGTATGCCTAACACCTTTCAACATGGTAGTAGCATTTGACTTCAAGCAAGGGCGGGCCATAGATTTTATTTTTAATAAAGTTTAAGCGTCATTGTAGTTAAGGACATTTATTTCAGACTTCAGCAAGAAGTTGTGTGTCAGTTCCAATGTTCTGTTGTGAATCGTCATTTGTTGTGTCTTACCATATTAATATATTTTACTGTGATGTTAGTAGAGAAATCATTGAGTGCAGTCATCCAAACACCTTTTAAAACTGGAAATACATAATCTTTAATGCTTTAAAATGTATTTGCATATATGTGAAAGTATCATCTAAACTGCAATCATTATAACCCATGAAGTGTGAAGAAATCCTGTATTTTCTATTTTCTTTAACATGATGGATAAAAGGTATTTAAGAGAGTTGAGAAACTAACCTTTAGTCCTGTGTCAAATCTGATAGAATTCATCTTTCAACTATCTGTTACCACTTTCTAGACACTGCCAATAGTAAAATCAATTGTTGAAGTAAATGGAATGGCTTTTGGTATAATGCACAAATGGGTTTAAATTGAGGATTCAGTATATGCGTGTTTTGTTTAAATATTTTTGCTTTAGGTGTAGGTTCATATGCAGCTGTAAGAAATAATACAGAGACATTCCATGTAGACTGATATGGTTTAGCTGTGTTCCCATCCAAATCTCATCTTGAATTGTAGCTCTCATAATCCCCACGTGTCATGGGAGGGAACCAGTGGCCCAGTGGCAAGTAATTGAATCATGTGGGCAGATTTTTCCCATGCTGTTCTGGTGATAGTGAATAAGTCTCATGAGATCTGATGATTTTATAAAGAGTAGTTCCCCTGCACATACTTTCTTGCCTGCTGCCATGTTAGACATGTTTTGCTCTTCTTTTGTCTTCCACCATGATTGTGAAGCCTCCCCAGCCAAGTGGAACTATGAGTCCATTAAACCTCTTTTTCTTTACACCCAGTCTGGGGTATTTCTTCATAGCAGCATGAGAAGTAACTAATACATAGCCTTTAAGAGTCCCACAATGTAATATCATGAAAAGCAATAGGACATTATCACAACGATGTTGGCATTGTTAGAGAAAAGACAGGTAACATTTCCGTCATCACAAACACATCATGTTTTCCTTCAACAGTCATAACCTTTTTTCTCCCACATCCCCTTCGTTAGCTCTTGACAGTGCCTAATCTGTTCTCCATTTCAGCAATTTTGTCACTTCAAGAATGTTACATAAATGGAATCATCCTCTATGACGGAACCATCCAGTATGTAACCTTTTGGTATTAGCTTTTTCCACTTAGCTTAATTCTCTGGAGGTTCATCCAGGTTGTTATGAGAATCAATAGTCTGTTCCTTTTTACTGCTGAGTAACCTTCAATGGTATGGTTTTACCACAGTTTATTTAAGCATTTACTGGTTGAAGTACAACTGGGTTGTTTTGGGGTTTTGGCTATTTTGAGCAAAGCTGCTATGAATATCCATGTACAGGTTTTGTGTGAACATTAGCTTTTCTTTCCATGTGACCAAAGCCCAAGTGTGCAATTGCAGAGTTGAATTATAGTTCCAAGTTTTGTTCAGTTTTTTTTTTAAATAAAAGCTCTATTAAGATGTAATTTATATACCATGTAATTCACCTGTTTAAAGTAAAAAGTTCAAGAATTTTTAGTATATTCAGAACTGCATAATCACCACAATATTTTTTTTTTTTTTGAGGCGGAGTCTCGCTCCATCTCTCAGGCTGGAGTGCAGTGGCACGATCTTGGCTCACTGCAAGCTCCGCCTCCTGGGTTCACGCCATTCTCCTGCCTCAGCATCCTGAGTAGCTGGGACCACAGGTGCCCGCCACCACACCCAGCTAATTTTTTGTATTTTTAGTAGAGACGGGGTTTCACCGTGTTAGCCAGGATGGTCTGGATCTCCTGACTTCTTGATCTGCCCATCTCGGCCTCCCAAAGTGTCACCACAATAATTTTTAAAACTTTTTCAACATTTTGAAAATAAACCATGTACTCATTAACAATCATTCCCCATTTACTTAAAATGTCCACTCTCCACCATACCTAATAAACCACTAATCTGCTTCTGACTATAAAACTTCTTAGTCTGAATATTTAATGTAAACAGTGATATAGAATAAATGCTCTTTGGCTTTAACTGAACTTTCATCTGTGTTTCAGTGTGTATCAAAATTTTATTCTTCTTTTTGCAGAATAATATTGTACTACATTGATATAACAAATTTTATTTATCTGTTTATCAGAGGATGGACATTTGAATTGCTTCCACTTTTTGGATATTATAAATAATACTGCTATAAATATTAATGTATGAGTTTTGGGGTAGATGTATATTTTAATTTTTCTTGGGTCTATAAGCAGAATTCATGGGTCAAGTGGTAAATATATGTTTAACCATTTGAGGAAAATCAAACTACTTTCTAAATGGCTGCACAATTTTACATTGCCTTTAGCAGTGTACAAGGGCTCCAGTTTCTTCACATCCTCACCAACACTTACTATTTTCTGTTTTTATGATTATAGCCATCCTAGTGTGAGAAAGTGCTATCTCCTCATGGCTTTGATTTGTACTTCCCTGATAGCTAATGTGGTTGAGCATCTTTTATGTGCTTATTCACCATTTGTATATCTTTGGAGAAATGTTTATTCAGATCCTTTGCTCATTTTTAAATTAGGTTGTCTTTTTATCATTGAATTGTAAGAGTATTTTTACATTTTATAGATAGAAATCCCTCATCAGAAATATGATTTGCAAAAGTTATTTTTCCATTCTTGGGTTATCATTTTACTTTGTTCATCGTGTCCTTTGATATACAAAAGCTTTTACTATTAATGACATTTATTATAATTATTTATTGTTTGGATCCTTGCTTTTGATGTTATATCAAAGGAGACTTTTCCCAACCCAAGGTCCTAAAGAGTTACTACTATATTTTTTTCTAAGAGTTTTATAGTTTTAACTTTTATATTTAGTTCTACAATTCACTTTGATTTAATTTTTGTGTATGATGTGAAGGACAAACACAATTCCATCCCTTTGTATGTAGATATCAAAGTGTCCCAACACAGTGTGTTGAAGACTATTCTTTCCCTCTTTGAATTGTTTTGGTACTCTAGTAAAACAAGAAATGACCATAATGTAAGGGTTTATTTCTGAACCTTTAATTCTTTTCAATTAATCTGTATGTCTATCCATATCTACATACCACATGGTCTTGCTTACTGTAGTTTGGAAATTAGGAAGATCATCAGTTTCCTTTTTTATTTCAAGATTGTTTTGACTATGTCAGGTTCCCTGCATCTATAAGAATTTTGGGATAACTGACAAATTTCTGCAAAAAGCCACATGAGGTATTAATTTTATGTTTATTTGGGAAGTATTGTTATCTTAACAATATTAAGTCTTTTGATCCATGCACTTGAGATGTTTTTCAAATTATTTAGGTCTTCTTTAATTTCTTTCAATGTGTTTTCACTTTTATTATTAGATCTTGCACTTCTTTAAAGAATAGATCCCTCTGTATTGTATTCTCTTCAATACTATTATAAATATAACAATTTTTATAATTTCATTTTCTGATAGTTCAATTTTATATATAGAAATATAAGTGATTTTTGTATAGTGATTTTACATACTGCAGTGGGTTAGAACTCTTCTATTAATTCTCAAAGTGTTAGTAGATATATCTGGATTTCCTATATACAAGATCCTGTCAACTACAAAGAGAGATAGTTTAAGGTTTTCTTTCCAATCTGGATGCCTTTGTGTTTTTTTTCTTGCCTTTATGGCCTGGCAATATGAGAATTACAGTATAATGTTGAATGTAAATGAGAAAGGTGTACACTGTTATCTTGCTCCTAATATCGGGGGAAAACATTTTTCCTTACACCATTATTACATTAGGTGTGGATTTTTCACAGATGCCTTAAACAATGTTGAAGGCATTCCCTTCCTTCATTGATTGAGTGCTTTTCAATCACTCCAGAGGTACTGAATTTGTCAATGCTTTTCCTGAGTTTACTGAGATGGTCCTCTGATTTTTCCTTTATTTTACTGATAAAATATATTATATTTATTTGTTTGTGCACTTTAAAACAACCTCACATTATTTAATTAAATCCCACTTGGTCTTGGTGTATAATTATTTTTCTGTGATGCTGGAGTCAGTGTGCTGGTATTTTGTTGATACATTTTGCATCTATATTCATAAGATATATTGATATGTAGTTTGTTTTTCTTGTGATTTTTTTGGGGGGTTTTGATATCAGGTTGACACTGGCCTCATGGAGTGAGTTGGAAAGTGTCCCTGCCTCTTTTGCTTTTTGGAATAATTTATGAAGAAATGGTATTAATTTTGCTTTAAATGTTTGACGGATTTCACCAGTAAAGCCGTTTGGTCCTAAGCTTTTATCTCCAGGAAGTGTTAACAATTATATATCCAGCCTGGGCACAGTGGCTCATGTCTGTAATCCTAACACTTTGGGAGGCCAAAGCAGGAAGTTTGCTTGAATCCAGGAGTTCAAAGCTACCATAGGCAACAAAGTGAGGTGAGTTCCCATATCTAAAAGAGAAACAAAAAAAAGCAGACAGGCATGGTGGAATGCTCCCACACACCCAGAGTCCCAGCCTGAGCAACAGAGCAAGGCCTTCTCTCTCTCTCTCTCTCTCTCTCTCTCTCTCTCTCTCTCCCCCCCATTTCTTTTACAGTCAGATTTGGTAGTTTGTGTTTTTTAAGGAATTTATCCATTTCATCTATATTGTCTAATTTGTGGCCACACAGCTATACATATTATTCCCTTTTAATCCTTTTTTTTTCTGTTAGATTGTAGGCAATCATCTCACTTTCATTTCTGATATTGATAATTTTGTTATTCTTGCTAAAAGTTTGTAAGTATTGTTGATCTTTTCAAAGACTTGGCTTTGTGTTTCTTTGATTCTCTCTCTTTTTCAAGTTGTTGCTTCATTAGTTTTCATTCTAGTTTTTATTATTTTCTTCCTTCTGCTTTATTCGAGTGTACTTTGCTCTTCTTTTTCCACTGCTTTATGTTGAAGGTTAGGTCATTGATATGAGGTCATTTTTCTTTTTAAATATAATCATTTACATTTATAAATTTCTCTCTAAGCACTGCTTTAACTTCATCCTACAAGTTTTATTATGTCACGTATTTTTATTCAGCTAATAATATGTCCTTATGTCAGTGTGATGTGTTCTTTTATCTTTAAATTACTAACGCATTTTAAATTTCCATAAATCTATTTCTTTCTGTTATTAATTCTTTGTTTTTACCCTTTGGCCTAAGCAAAAAACTTATGACTAAGTCCTCATTTCTATCAGAATTTTGGGATAACTGACCAATTTCTGCAAAAAGCCACATGAGATATTAATTTTATATCTATTTGGAGAATATTGTTACCTTAACAATATTATGTCTTTTGATCCACGAACTTGAGATTTTTAAATTTATTTTTAAAGATTTCAGGGGTACAAGTGCAGTTTTGTTTCATGGATATATTGCGTAGTGGTGAAGTCTTGGTTTTAATGTGCTCATCGCCCCAATAGTGAACATTGTACACAATAGGTAATTTTCAATCCTCACTCCCTTCCCAACCTCCTACCTTTTCATAGCTCCGGTGTCTATTATTACCCTGTCTATGTCCATGTGTACCCATTGTTAATTCCTACTTTTAAATGAGAATATGAGGTATTTGACTTTCTGTTTCTGAATTATTTCACTTAAGATACTGATCTCCTGCTTTATCTATGTTGTTGCAAAAGACATGATTTCATTCTTTTTTATGGCTAAGTAGTATTACATGGGGTGTATGTGTGTGTATATATGTGTGTATATATATATAAAATTTTCTTATATATATCAATAAAAATTATACATATCTATAAGAATTTTATATATAAGAATTATAGATATATACATATATATATATAATTTTCTTTATCGAATCATCAGTTGATGGACACTTAGGTTTATTCCACAACTTTACTATGGTGAATAGTGCTGTGACAAACATGTAAGTTCAGGTGTCTTTTTGATATAGTGAATTCTTTTCCTTTGGGTATATACCCAGTAGTGTGACTGTTGGATTAAATAACTGTTCTATTTTTAGTTCTTTGAGTAACCTCTATACTGTTTTCCACAGAAGTTATGCTAATTTGCATTCCCACCAACAGTGTATAAGCATTCACTTTTTTCTAAATGTGCTACAACATGTGTTAATATTTGAGGTTTTAATAATAGCCATTCTGTCTGGTGTACGATGGTATTTCACTGTGGTTTTAATTTGCATTTCTCTGATAATTTGTGCCGTTGAACATTTTTGTCATGTTTTTTTGGCTGCTTGTATGTCTTATTCTGAAAAATCTCTTCAAATCTTTCACCCACTTTTTAATGGGCTTGTTTTTGTCTTATAGAGTTGTTTGAGTTCTTTGTAAATTCTGGATATTAGCCCTATGTCACACACATAGTTTTCAAACATTTTCTTCCATTCTGTAGGTTATTAGTCTTTTGATTGTGATTTTCTTATTTATTTATTTTTATTATTTATTTATTTATTTATTTTTTACTGTGCAGACACTTTCTAGTTTAAGTCCCTTTTGTCTGTTTTTGTTTTAGTTGTGTTTGCTTTTGAGGACTTAGTTATAATTTTTTGTTGTTTGTTTTGGCCAATGTCCAGAAGACATTTTCAAAGGTTCCCTTCAGGAATTTTTATAGTTTCAGATCTTACATTCAGGAATTTAATTCATCTTGAGTTAATTTGTATATGGTGAGAGATATGGATCTAGTTTCATTCCTCTATGTATGGCAATCCAGTTTTCCCAGCACCATTTATTGAATAGGATGTCTTTTCTCCAGTGTATACTTTTGTCAATTTTGTTGAAGATCAGTTGGTTGTAGGTATGTGGCTTTATTGATGTATTCTATATTACATTCCAGTGATCTATGTGTCTCTATTTATACCAGCACCATGCTGTTTTAGTTACTGTAACCTTGTAGTATATTTTAGACAGGTAATGTGATACATCAAGCTTTGATTTTTGCTTAGGATTGTTTTGGCTATTCAGGCTATATTTTGGTTTCATATTAATACTATGATTGTTTTTTCTAATTCTGTGAAAAATTATATAAATTGCATTGAATCTGTAGATTGTTTTAGGAAGTATGGTCATTTTAACAATATTGACTCTTCCAAACTATGAGCATAGAATGTTTTTCCATTCATTTGTGTCATCTACAGTTTTTTTCATCAATGTTTTGTATTTTTTCTTTTAGAGAGCTTTACCTACTTGTTTAAATGTATTGCTACATATTTGTGTGTGTGTGTGTGTGTGTGTGTGTGTGGGTCCATTGCAAGTGAGACTGCATTCTTAGTTTGGTTCTCAGTTTGTATGTTATTGATTATAGAAATGCTACTGACCTTTATACATTGATTTTGTATCCTGTAACTTTTCTGAAGTTGTTTAACAAATCTAGAAGTCTTTTGGATAGTCTTTAGGATTTTCCAGTTGTAAGATTTTATCATCAGTTAACATATATCATTTGACGTCCTCTTTTCCAATTTGGATGCCTTTTATTTCTTCCTCTTGCTTGATTCCTGTAGCTAGAAATTCCAGGACTATGTTGAATATGAGAGGTAAAAATGTGCATCCTTGTCTTGTTCCAGTTTTTAAAGAGAATGTTTTCAACTTTTTCCTGTTTAGTATGATGTTGCCTATGGGTTTGTTATATATGGCCTTTATTATTTTAGGTAAGTTTATATGATACCTGGTGTGCTGAGTGTTTTTATCATTAATGGGTGCTGAATTTTATAAAATTATTTTTTCTGAATCTATTGAGATGAGCATATGGTTTTTGTTTTAAATTCTGTTTATGTGGTGAATCACATTTATTAATTTGCATGTGTTGAACCATTCTTGAATCCCTGAAATAAAACCCACTTGATTATGGTGTATTACATTTCTGATGTACTGTTGCATTTGGCTTGCTAGTATTTTTTAGAGGATTATTGTGTTTACATTCATCAGGGATATTGGCCTATAGTTTTCTATTTTTGTGGTATTCTTGCCTGGCTTTGGTATCAGGGTGATACTGGCTTCATAGAATGAGTTAGGGAGGATTCTCTTCTCATCAATTTTATGCAACAGTTATAGTAAAATTGATACCATAAAATTGATTGATACCATCAATAAAATTGATCAATTTTATAGTAAAATTTATACTGGTATCAATGGCTTCATGTGGCAATCATATGGCTTCACATGTCTGGTAACATTTGGCTGTACATCCCTCTGGTCCTGGGCTCATATCTGTTGGACAATTTTTTCATTACTGATTCAATGTCATTACTCATTATTGTCTGTTAAAGATTTCTATTTCTTCTTGTTACAGTCTTAGGAGAAATTTTCTCTAGTTTTTCTAGTTTGTATGCCTAGTGATACTCATAGCAGTCTTTGATGATCTTTTGTATTTCTGTGGTATCACTTGTAGTCACACCTTTATCTTTTCTGATTGTGCTTAAGACTTCTCTCCATTTTTCATGGTTGATCTAGCTAACAATCTATCAATATTGTTTATGATTTCAAAAAGCCAATTTTTATTTTGTTGATCCTTTGTATTTTTTTGTTGTTCTCAATTTCATTTAGTTCTTTTCTGATCTTTGTTATTTCTTTTCTTCTCTGAGCTTTGGGTTTGGTCTGCTCTTGAATTTCTATTCCCTTGAGGGACTTGTTAGGGTTGTTAATTTGGAATATTTCTATCTTTCTAATGTAGGTTTTTAACACCGATGAAAATTTTGTTGAGAGTCCCTTTAGAAGTGATTAGACACTTCTCTCTTGCTGCTTTTAGGATTTTTTTCCTTCATATTGGCTTTGGATAACCTAATAACTATATGTGATAATGAGTTTCATCTTGTAAAGTATGTTCCAAGTATTCACTGAGCTTGTTGTATTTGGATACCTAATTCCCTGGCCAGACCAGGGACATTTTCCTGGATTGTTCCCACAAATAAGTTTCCCCAGCTTTTTCTTCTTCTCCCTCAGGAATGCCTATAATTCATAGGTTTGGTTACTTTACGTAATCTTTTATTTCTCAAAGCCTTTTTTTAGTGTTTTGTTTTTTTTTTTTTGTCTGACTTGGTTAATTCAGAAGGCTTGTCTTTAAGCTCTGATTATTTTTCTTCTACTTGCTCTAATGGTAAGGCTTCCAAATGTATCTTGTAATTATTTCAATAATTTTTTTTATTTTCAGAAGTTCTGTTTTTTTAAAAATTATCTGTAATAATTTTTAATTAACATCCTGATTTTTCTTCTGATTTCTTTGGTTTTTAGCTTTCTCTTGGATCTCATTAAGCTTCCTCACAATCTATATTTTGAATTCTTTATCTGTCATTTCAGAATTTTCATTTAGTTTTGGATCCATTGCTAGACAGTTAGTGTGTTCCTTTGGAGGGGTTAAAGCACTCTGTTTTTCCATGGTGCCATAGTTTTTATGTTAGTTCCTTCTCATCCTGGAGAAATTGTCATTTATTTTTTAATTTACTTTCTTTTAGATGGTACTTTTTTAAATTTTTTCTCTTGAGGGCGTAACTGTAATGTATGTTGTGTAGGGCTGTTTGGCTTCAATTCTGGGTGCTTTCAGGGGCCAAGCCTCTGTATGAGTTCCTTGGTTGTAGATAACCTTGGTTATAAATACAGTTCCTTTATGTGGTGGCTTTTTCAAATGCTGATTATAGTAGCAATGTACTCGGCCTATGAGCAGGACTAACACCTTCTGTGGGACTGAGGTTATGGAAGTCTCAGGAAACTTACCTTATTCCGCAGCACAATGCTCTTCTGACAGAAGATTTTTAATTTGATTGTGCAGTCCAATCTCCAGTTCATTAGGTGGTAGTTACGGGTAACAGCTGTCTGTGGTATATACTTGATCTTTGTTTACTGAGAAGGGCTCTGTTGTCACATGTAGTGGGCTGGTCTGTCAAATGACTGGTGTCCTGACTTCCCTGCTGAAGGGTACAGGTGGGACAAAGCTGGGCAGAGCTGGACCACCAAACTCACCCTCAGATACCCCAATGATAAGTTAATGTATCCACCTTGACTGGAGTGACAGGGAGAGGTTATAGTGAAAGCCTCCCATGTTTCTCCCAGTTCCACATCATGGGCAGGCAGGAAAGTGGTCAACCTCCACATCACACCCTTCTTCCAGGGCTCAGGACTTTCATTTCAGATAGACATTGTAGTTCATCTTCAGGACTCAATGTAACTGAGGGTTCCAGCAAATCCCTACCCCATAGCTACCAACAAAATGACCTCGGGAGAAACCTCTTTCCTCAACCCCAAACAGACAGCTTTGTGGCTCACTCACCTGTACTCTGCAGCGGGAATGCTGCTGTTCTGTGTAGAGTGAGGGATGGACTCCACCATTCTTGCAAGCTGGGCTAATGGACATACCAGGAGTGGGAGTGCAACTCCTCCTAATAGTCCTATAATGGTTCTCCCTAGGCATACCCATGCCAACGCCCCCCACGAAAGAACAGCTAGCTGCAGCTGCATCCGCAGCTGTGGGTCGGCAGGCAGAAGTCCCCCTATCCATCTTTGTTCCCAGGCACCAGTGCCACCTGCTGCTGGGATGGAACCACACTCTCCCTGACATAGCCTAGCACCATGCCCACATTTCTCATGCAATGGGCGCAGTAATCTTCAGCTCACAAGTGGGGAGCTCTTGTGCAGAGGAGAGTGCACACTCCGGTTTTTGTTGTTCCAAGGGCACTTCGGCATGTGACACTCTCCCTTCCCCTAGGGAGAGCTCACCCTGAACGTTAGAATTCCGGGAATCCCACAGCTCCCCTTTATCCTGCTGGTCCTTTCTGGTTGCTGCTGTCCAAGTAGATTCTAAGGAATGTCTATAAGGGATCTACTGGTGTTGAGGCAAGAGCTGAGACTCTTTGGGTAGGATAGAGATCCACAATATGTGCCCAACTGGTATGGCACCTACTACCTCAGCTTGGGTCTTGAGAGTGGAGGGATGGTAAAACTGCATGAGCTAGCAGCCTAGTGCTTTGCCCTCAAGAAATTTGTAAACACAACCCACAGCAGTACTTGGGTTCATGAGGGCAGAGGGGCTCTCTGACATTCCAGAAATCAGCAGTATGACACAGGGGTGAGGGGAGCATAAAGTACCCCCATCTACCTTATCCATGGGACTCCAAGATCTTCAGGGGTCAATCTCTGCCAGACTCTTGCTTCCTTCTTTTTGTGTGCCCCAGCTTTTTCCCATGGGTTCTTTAATAGACTGTGGCACTCTTCCCTCGGTATTCCACTCAGGATGTGATTACTAACTGGCAACTCTGGTTCTTCTTTATGAAAACTGGCATTCAATGCCTCTAGTCAGCCATCTTGAAAAAAAAAACCTCAACTCTGTTATTAATTTGTAATGTTATTCCATTGTAGCAAGGCACATGCTCTGTGTGCTTTGAATTATTTCAAATGTATTGAGGCTTGTTTCATGGCCTGGAATGTAGACTACCTTGGAGTACCATGTGTACTTGAGAAGGGTGTATATTTTGCTTTATTTTGGGTGGAGTGTTCCATAAAGACTTCTTAGTTCTATCTATCCTATTGTTGTTCAAGTCTTCTATTTCCTAATAGAACTTCTGCTTATTTGTCTTATCCATTATTGAAAGTGAGCTACTGAAGTCCTCAACTCTTTTTGCTAATTCTCCATTTCACATTTTAATTCTGTAATTTTTTGCTTCATATTTTGGGGTTATGTTGTTTGGTGCATATATATTTATAATTGTTCCTTTTTTGATAAATTAACATTATTAAACTAGAATAACAAAATTGATCTCAATATAACTATAAAATATATTTTTTATATCTAGTGATTGTTTTTGTTTTTCAAACCTACTATTCCTTATTTCTGTATAGCCTCTCTGTCTTGTGATGGCCATTTGCCTGACATATCTTTTGCTATCTTTATTTTTAACCTTCCTGTATCTTTGAATATAAACTGGGTTTTCTAGATAAAACAGGCAGTTGAATTTTTTTTTTATTTTTAATCCAGTGTGATAAACTGCCTTTTGATTTGATTGTACAACAGATTAGAATTTAATGTTATTATTGATATAGTTAAATTTACATCTGCCAATTAATTTTTATCTTTCTAATGTCTCTTTTGTCCTCTCTCCTTTACCAGTTTTGCATTAAGATAATATTTTCTTGTGTAACATTTTAATTTAATGATTTTTCTTTGTATTTTTTGTTATTTTCTTTGTGGTTGATTTAGGACTTATATATCTTAATTTATAAGAATCTATTTCATATTTATACTTATTTAGGATTTTTTTTTTTTTTTTTTTTTTTTTTTTTTTTTTTTTGAGATGGAGTCTAGCTCTGTCGCCCAGGCTGGAGTGCAGTGGCACCATCTCAGCTTACTGCAAGCTCTGCTTCCTGGGTTCATGCCATTCTCCTGCCTCAGTCTCCCGAGTAGCTGGGACTACAGGCGCCTGCCACAGCACCTGGCTGATTTTTCTTTTCCTTTCTTTTTTTTCTCTTTTTCTTTCTTTCTTTCTTTTTTTTTTTTTTTTGTATTTTTAGTAGAGATGGGGTTTCACTGTGTTAGCTAGGATGATCTTGATCTCCTGACCTCGTGATCCACCCGCCTCGCCCTCCCAAAGTGCTGGGATTACAGGCGTGAGCCACCGCGCCCGGCCACTTATTTAGTTTAATATAGAAACAATCCTAGAAAGCTCTATTTCCTCTTATCCATTTTATGCTCTAATTTTTGTACATATTATATGTATATATGCTCCAAACCCAACCATACATCATTATATATGCTGCAAACCCAACAATACATCATGGAGCTAGCAGTCTCCACTTAATTGCTTACCAATAAAATTTCCATTATTTCAGAGAGTACCCTTCAACTTGAACTTGCCTACATTCTTTTCTAAATAAAGTTAACTCTTTTGGGCAGAACTTCAGAATTCTCAGTTCTTATTACCTGGCTCTCTTCTTGGGCAAAATATGCACCACTGCTCTGGAGCTAATGGGAAGGAGGGTATGGGTTAAGGTTCAAATTACATAGATGCTTGCTATTGTTACTGAGATTTGTGTTTCTTGAAAAAAAATACATATAATTTGCTGTATATCTTAGAACAATTTCTGGAGACTTTAAATGTAGATATATAATATATACATAATTATATTTCATTAATGTATAATATATACATACTATATCATTACACATATAACATCATATATAAGATTATAGATACATGATATATAATAAAACAATGCTAACACATATATGTATAATTAGGTACATGATTTTGTGTATGATATAACATATATGTATATTATTATATTATTGTTATCAATTGTGAATGTTTCACTGGAGAGGAGGTTTGTGAAGGTCCTCTGATCCCAGTTAGAAGTGGATTTTCCTTGTGTTTTAAGAGCCTCTAGCTATTGGGGTTTCAGTACCAGACCTGTTAGCAACCCTGTCCTATTGGGAAATGAAGGAGAACTAGACATGGGTGTTTACAGTGTGACTTTTGTGGGATACTACTTCTACCTGCTAGGCAGCCTAATGTCTAGTTCTCAAACCCGTGACCAGGGGGTCTCGCACACAGGAAAGGTGTTTATATTGGAAGATGCCCTTGTGGCTCTTGTTTGATCCCTGTTCAGTTTATGCCTGCCTAACCATTGCTGCAGCACTGGGATCCTGACTTTTTGTTCTTCCTGGCATCCCAGGGAAATTCTGGCCTGGGGAAGCTGTAGTTCTTTGCATGGAAGGTGCAAATTTGATACACCACCACAGTAAGAAACAAGCTCAAAGACTTTTTACTTATGGATCCTAGGCAGGGAGAACACAATGAGTCAGGAGGACAGTTCTCTGTCTCCAGGTCATGCAAGGCAGAAATGTAGAGTCAGGCATAGAGAGAGAGAGAACATGTGGCAATTAGCAGGATACATAAGGGCATAGGGTGTAGATTATGTTAAGTTTGCGGGAAAATACCTGAATAGTTTTTTTAAAGGAAGTAGCCGGAAAATGGATAACCTGGTCTGCTAGGCAGGAGAGATGCATCTAAGCTCTTATCTGGAGCCTCTGGATTGAGGCATTTGGGTGTGGTGTAGAACTGGAAACTGAGTCAAGGGTGACCAAACCCTGCTTTTGCTATAAGAAACTTAAACCTGTATTCAAAATGAACACCAAGGCAACATAAAATTATAAGAATTTACTATACTTCATTATTCATTTTTTGATCTCAGGACATGTGCTTAACTGCTTTGCATCTTAGGTGTCCTCCTGTAAAACTGGATAAAGTACCAGGTGTATAGTGCTGTTTTGCATATTTGCTTAGAAAAAATTTGTAAACCTTATTTTTTCAATGTCTGCTCATAAAAGCTATCCAATACAATTTAGTTCCCTGTTTTTCTTTCAGATATCCAAATCTGTCACTCTCATCATGCCATTTCTATAACAAGTCAGAGAGTCTATCTTCAGCTTTATCTGTCATTGTTCTCCCTCATTTTGCAGTTTGTTCCTTGGGTTGAATAATACCTCTGTAAAATGTTTCACATTAGTCTTAATAAAAAAAGTAATGTTTATTTTTGTAATAATTTATGTAAGATATAGCTCAGTGAAAACATATTCTCCTTGCATGTTATCACACACAATTGTTTTTGAATGACACAATAATGTATTGACATTTTATACTTCTGATTTCACAGTATATTTGCCATTACTTGTTAGTAACAAAGCATCAGTCATAAATTTGAAGTCTGTGGAATTGGTTAATTTTACCTCATTTGAGTAAATCTCAAATGAGGTAAAGTATAGGAGGTAGGAGGAAGGAAGGAAGGAGAAAGGGAGTATAATAACTAATTGGAGAAAAATATATTTGATAAAATAATCCTTGTCTGTATAAAACAATTTTCAATAATAACTGATATGTTTCCCTAAAGGTAGTTTATAATCTATTATTCTTTTTATAATAATTATGATGTTATGTGGTTTGGATTTCTTTGTAATCCACATTAGATAGCATAGAAACTAGTATATAACCAATAAATATTTCGTGACTGCATGTACTTTGTGTATAACTTTATGTGCCAAATTCTTGATACAAATAATCTGTAAATTTTCTCCTCATCAGAAAATTGTATTCTTTGTCTACCGTCATTTTGCCATTATCAGAATGTATATTTTACATGGCATTCCCAAATTAAAGTTAATTATTCTCCCCTATGAAACAATGTACTTTGTATTTTAACAAATTGTTTAGCTAAGGAAGAAAACAATTTATTTAGGTAATGCAAATATGTCAACAGATAATTGCATTATAGCAGAAGTTTAATATAAAAGACACAAAAGTTTTAGGTGTGTCCTGAGAAGTGATTGATTTCTGTAGGGCAGAAGTAAAGGAGAAATTTAAAAAATATATTATGAATGTTGCGATGCCCAAGTAGATCTTGAGAGTAACAGAAGTAATAGAGTTTGACAAGGCTGGAGTTCCTGTAAGAAAATAAGCATATTACTAAATCCACTTTATTCTAATTAATTATTTGTTCAGATCTTAACTTTTATAACAGGATATGTTGAGGACCTGAATGTTCTAGTCATCTGTTTCCCCTGAGCACATAATGCAATCAATGGCCTGTGATAGGTGCTCAAGAAATTGTCAATGCATAAGTGATTCAATGGATAAAGGAAGAGGGACGAATATTTGACAGGCCCATCCCCTCCTCACTTGCTCTGAGCTGTGTCCTGAGATTATGATTGATAGGATATCTTATGAATAAATCCATCAAAACTGAGCAAACTGGGAAAATATTAACAATTTAATGGTTGATTTTTAGCTAAGTCTTATAATCCAAGGCAAATACAATTTCCTCTTTTATACTCTCCAGTACTTGTTATGTACTCATGTTTTGTAGACAATAAAAATAAACTTAATTTTATGCTTGGTAATCAATAATTTATAGTGTTTTATTGTGATATTATGTATTCATGATAAGTAACTCAATGTAATATTAAGCTAAGTTTTAAGTTACCTAAAGATCTTGAAAATTTTGTTCAAGCTGACAAACTATAAAACAAAATTATAGTTGAAATAAAAAGATTGAGAGAATTATGATTCAACTTCTTTAAAATATATTTTTATAATATTAAACATTTTTATAGGAATACATTTTTATTTTATTAGTAACCTAGTATACAAACTTTCAGGAATTCAGATTAAATAGACTTTTCATGAGGAACCAAACCTAAATCTTATAAAAATTAAATTGCCTACTTGTATATTACTTAACATTGATACTTTATATAAAGTCATATAACTGTTTTTCTTCTTTAAATCATTATTAAACCAGTTGCGATTTGATATTTTATAGAAAATGCCTTTGGGGAATTTTTTAGAGGTTATCACAATTCATGTATTAGAAATTATTTTAAAATATTCTATGTATTTGGGAATATTCAATTTACATAAGCACTTTTTAAAAATAAATTATAACAGTGATTCTTTAGCTTAAGAGATGCCACAATTTAATGTACTTTTATCCTCTGGATATAGAAGTGAAGACCTTTCTCAATTTCAAACACAGTTGCATAGTCACAAAGACGACTTGTACCTGCAGTCTCATCACTTCAGTCACGGGTCAAAAGTGAACACGAAAACCCAACCAAAAACTTTCTAGTCCGGATATCAGGTGTTTTCCTTCCCAGTGGGCAGGAAACACTTTCCCAGTTGATTTGAGATCTACGCAAACAGGTAAACAAACAACAAGCCAACAAACCAGAATCTCATTCATGTTTAACCCAATAACGAATAGAGTTTCATTATTCATCTCATAGAAATTACCAAGTGGTCAGAACAGAAAACCAAAATCTTAGTCATTGCTCTCACTAATGGGGGATAATTTATGCACCAACAAGATCTAGAAATAAAAATCAAAACAACAACAAACCAACAACCCCTCCCACCCCCCACCATATAAACAGTAGGAGAAATAGGAGGAAAAAAGAACTGGAGAGTCAGGAAAATTAAAGTTCTATTGACGCTTGAGATTCTCTCTGAGAACTAGAAAAGATGTGACTTCACTCAAAGATCCTTGAATGTGCCCTTCTCCAGTAATACAATTTATTTGGCTCTGTCAAGTGAAACAATAAAATATAATTTTCAAAAGTTAAAAAAAAACCATGCATCTTATGCAAATATAAACTGAACACATGATGAAGATTTTATTCAATTATTAATTATGGTTCAAAGGAGAATTTTAAGGACATAAACACATAGGTACACACAATCAGGAATGCTGAAATGCATTTGCTAATAGATGCAAAGCTTTTTAAAACCCTTTATATGTGATAAAATAAGATGTTTAGGAGTTATATTTCCTACAGAGTTAAAGCAATTTTTTTCTTTACTGAATAAAACAAATTTGCATTGCTATTAACAAGAATAATTTGCATTAGTGTCAGTTTTTTACATGACAACTTCTACTCCTACAAAATTGCTACTAGTCTGGTCAATAGAAGGTCAGTCAAAGGAGCATATCATTATGGAATCAGACAATCCCCGGAGAGTATGCAGGTAATATCCAGCACTCTACAATATGAAACAATCATTTTAATATTTCTAGATCCTCAGTCTCAAGATTTGTTTCTTCACATTGATTTGGCTGAGAACATAAAGATACATACTTTATGTTCGCCTTATCTTCTCACTTTCCTTTCACACTTGCACTTCTTGAACTTGGTAAACATAAATCACACTTTCATCCACCCATCAAAAATGTGTGTTCTCTGAGGGGAAAAAATCACTGTGGCATACACAAAAATATTAATTAGAAGTATTGATGTTTAAGAAGACTTCTAAAATGAGGATACTGTAAACCTACCCCTTATCTTCATAATAGATGCATTTCCAATATAAATTTATTCATTGTTCATAACACAATGAATACATTTGTCCAATTGTGGGCTAAAAATAGTTTTAATTGTAACTCAATAGAGAAGAATATTTTAAACATTAAAGACTCATGACAATAAATTTTAAGTAATATTTAATCTTAACACTATATAAACATTTTGAATTATAATAAAGTGACTGAATAAAATATTTGCAAGCATAAAATATATTTCCTTAGAATAACATGTTATAGAAGTAGGGAACAACAATATAAAAGAAAATGAACCACATATAATTTATAACTGTTGAAAAGAGGAGTTGGGTTGTGTATTTTTTAAATGCATGATTGTGGGTGGCAAACAGCTATTGTATTAATATTCTACACAGGATGCATTTGAAGAAGAATGTAACACTTTTCCTTAAAATATGAATAGTGAAAGTATGCTAGAAGTTATGTTTATGCATTTTTTAGTTCAATGATAAAATATTTGAATTTGTATAGCTTCAAAATATTTGTTCTATAGCCTGTTTAATTTATGTTATTTCTCAGTGGCTTACTTTTAATTTCAGGTTCATTTTTCCCCAAATTTTCACTTGTTATTTTTTAAGAGAAAGGCCTATGAAAATATGAACAATGACCTCAAATAATTGATTTCAACTCATAAAAATAACAAAGAATAAAGGAGTAATACTGAGACAATTGCCGCTGTTTGACAACTATGATAGAGCATATGAAAGGATAATTTCCGAACTGATAGTTTTTGTTCACTAATGGAATTATTTTTGTCTTCATAGGATATACTTTTAGTCTTAATGCATAATATTTAATCCATCACATTAATCTTTGTAGATGAAATGTCAATGACTACATATATAGGATTGTGTGTCTTAGATAAGTCCACATAAAACATAAATTGGAGTAATCATAAGGAGCAGCATACGAGTTTGGTCAGCAACTGCTTGGTTTGCAAATTGTATGTGAAAGACTTGGAGTTATAATAATGGCTCTAGGCTTAAAACCACCATATTAACCCTCTTGTTTTTACTATCTTCAATTTATTATATGGCTTGGAGAGTGTGTTCTGCATGTGTAGCTCTGTCTCTTTTTCCTATAATGTTCTCAACCATCTCACCTAATTCAATTTTGTCAGCACTTTGTAAAGGCCTGTTAGACCAATCCCACTGAAATCACATGCCTATTTTTATATCTACAGCATTTTATGCCCTTTTTTTGGTGTTTGAAACCTTATACACAGAGATTTTCCTCAATAAAAATTTGTTGAATTCATTAATAAATTAAAAAATAAACCAATCAATCAAATCTAATGCCAAAGGGCCAGAGTAATGATTTTTTTTTTTCTCTAGGATTTTTGGGGCAAAAATGTGGCCATCTCAAGCAGCTTCAACATTTTAATTTAGGGCAAGCAAGCCCCAAAATTTGGGCTTGGCCCAGGATGGTTCTTGCCATCACCCAGGAAAGAATTTAGGCAGCCAGTGTTATTAGACAACAAATTTTATTGAAGTAGCAGTATACAGCAGCTGTAGAGGTACTGCTCCTTTCAGACCAGGTCAACCCCACAGACAGTGTGCCTAAAGTAGCAGCTCAGAGGCAGTTTGGCTGTCGTATTTATACCCACTTTTTATTATATGAAAATTAAATGGTGGATTATGCAGACATTTATAGGACAGGGGTGGTAATTTCCAAGTCATCAGGTCATTGTCATGTTCTTTAAAGAAGCAGTAACATCTGAGTGTTGTTCTGGCAAGGGTAAACGACATGGCACACTGGTGGGCATGTCTTATGGAAAGCTACTCATGCCCCATCCCAATATTTACAGATGTGAACATCTGTAAACATTCTTTCTGCAAATACATCCTGCAATTGTATTTAGTTGGTCCTCAATTTCATCTAATGTCTGAGTCCTGTCTCTGCAGTTAAGTCCTGCCTCCTGAGTCAAGTCCCACCTCCTACCTCAATTTGAGTTTAAGTTGAAAAAACAAATTTTGCAGAAGTGAAGGCAAAAAATGAAGGCATATCCAAATGATACAAATGACAATCATTGTCAATTAATCTTCTGTTTTTATAAGGGCAAATATGATTCCAGAAGCTCAGCATTATTTTGGCATAATGGGAACTGTAGGAAAGGCAGATGATTTCCATAGTATTTATCACTGCATTCCTTGCTGTGTATTTCAAATTCTCTTGGAGTTTGTACTTCTAAATTTTAGAAAAAGTTGTGAATTTTGAAATTTTTTCAGAAATTGGAAAATATTTGTAGATCAAATTAAACAGAAAGCCAATGAGATATATTCACATCTGTAAACATTCTTTTTTATTTCAAATATATTTTGTTAGCTAAAAAGTACTCCTGTTGTTATATTATTTAGTTTTACAACCATTTTTCTAATTATAACAAAAATGTATTTCTGCAACAGTGATATATGTGTTTATATTAAGAGAAAATAAATGTAATCTTCTTGTAAACATTTTATTTTGAAACACCGGTCTAACATCTGTAAACCAAGGCAGTATTATGTTTCCATATACTTAAGAATAGGTACTCCCAGTGGGAGATGATATAGGATAGAATGGAAAATGTATTATCCATTGGAAAGATTCTGTTATGTGGGCATGTCAAGGTTATTTTCTAAACATTTGTGTCACATCCTTCAAAAATTCTTATTTTTTTCTTTTATTTTTATAATTGCAACTTTTATTTTAGATACAGAGGACACGTGCAGATCTGTTACATGGGTATATTTGTGACATTTGTTCAGTGGTAGATACAAATAGTTTTAATTGTAACTGAAGTTTGGGGTATGATCCTGTCACCCAGGTATTGAGAATAGTGTCCAATAGGTAGTTTTTCACCCATTGCCTGTCTCCATTCCTTCCCCTTCTAGTAGTTCACATTGTCTATTATTCCCATCTTTATGACCATGTATACTCAAAGTTTAGCTCTCAGTCATCAGTGAGAACATACAGTATTTGGCCTTCTGTTCTTGCATTAATTCACCGAGGATTATGGCCTCCAGCTGCATGCATGTTGCTGCAAAGGACATGATTTTGTTCTTTTTTTGGCATCATAGTATTCCAAGGTATATATGCACCATATTTTCTTTATCTGTTCCACCATTGATTGGCATCTGTGTTGATTCTATGTCTTTGCTATTGTGAACAGCACTGTGATGAATGTATGAATGCATGTGTCTTTTTGGTAGAATGATTTATTTTCTTTTGGACATATACCCAATAATGGGATTGCTGGGTTGAAAGGTAGCTCTGTTTTTAAGTTTTTTGAGTAATCTCCAAATGGCTTTCCACAGTGGCTGAAATATTAATAATTTACATTCTCACGAACAGTGTATAAGCATTCCTATTTCTCCCGAGCCTCACCAGCATCATTGTTTTTTGTCTGTTTAATAATCACCGTTCTGACGGGTGTGAGATGGTATCTTATTGTGGTTTTGATTTACATTTCTCTGATGACTAGTGGTGATGAACATTTTTTCATATTCATTGTCTGCGTGTATGTCTTCTTTTGAGAAGTATCGGTTCATGTCCTTTGCCCACTTTTTAATGGAATCATTTGTTTATTGCTTGTTGATTTATTTTAGTTCCTTATGGATTCTGGATTTTAGACCTTTGTTGGATGCAGTTTGTGAATGTTTTCTTCTATTCTGTAGGTTGTCTGTTTACTCTGTCGATAGTTTCTTTAATTTGGTCCTACTTTTATTGCAATTGCTTTTGGGGACTTGGCCAAAATTATTTGCCAAGGTCAATGTCAAGAAGAGTATTTCCTAGGTTTGTAGTCGAAGGTCTTATATTTAAATCTTTAATTAATCTTGGGTTGATTTTTATATATGGTGAAAGGTAGGAGTATGGTTTTATTCTTCTGCACATGGCTAGCCAGTTATCCCTGCACCATTTCTTGAATAGAGAGTCCCTTTCCCATGGCTTGTTTTTGTCAGCTTTGTTGAAGATCAGATGGTTTTAGGTGTGTGGTTTTATTTATGGGTTCTTTATTCTGTTCCATTGATCTATGTGTCTATTTTTGTATCAGTACCATGCTGTTTTGATTATTGCAGCCTTATAGTTTAGTTTGAAGCCAGGTAGTGTGATGCCTCAAGCTTTGTTCTTTTTGCTTATGATCACTTTGGCTCTCTGGGCTCCAAAATCTAATACACTTTTCTATGTCTAGTAGGGACTAACTCTCTGCCCAGAGTTTAATCATGAAATTAGTGAGCCAGTGTTACTAATAGAAATATGACCTATCTCTCAGACATAATAGGGCATAAAAACTTCAGCGGCTGAAAAATCATCTGAAAGACTTTTTAAAAATGTACAATCTGAGCCATTTTTTTCTGATTTACTGTATCAAAAACTCTAGAGTTGGATCTAGAATTCAGTATTTTTAGCAAGCACTTGAAGTAATGTTTCTAAACACTAAAATTTCAAAGCAATAACTCCTTAATAAATGACACCACTTTTACATACATTTATGACTATAGTTGTAAGTATGCGTAATAAACATTCAATCTCAATAATATCCAAAAATGCAAGAACATAAAGATCTTCTACAATGAAAGACACATTAAAACTTATAATGCAAGACATAGAAAGATTCTCACTACCATAACCTTTCAGGAGAAAGTTTTTTGCTGCCTTTTCCTCAGAAATTTAGAATCACTATGATATTTTGAAATCTTTATGAACCTCAAGATGTTTACTTTTAGATCTTGTTTTAAACATACTACCAATTATAAGATTGTTTATATTAAATGATAATTTTAAAGGATCAGGAATGTGATAATATTGTCAAGTATTGGGGGGAAATTGCCCTAAATAGCATTATAAATAAATCATCCAATCATCAGTGTTACTCAAAGTTCATTCTTTGGAACCCTATTACCTTCAGATACAGTACGAACTAAAAGCATTATTGTTATCAAATAGGTGTGAGAAATGATGCATTGTATAGCACATCTGATTGCAGTGAATCACAATGCACAATAACATATCTAAGGCTCTGGAGAGGTCTTACAAGTGCTCAACCTTCCCAATACAGTTTAGCCCAACTAATACATAGTAATATATTGAGAAGAAATATACATTTGGATATACTAATTTATATGACTCGTACAATTGGTCCCTTTAAATTGGCAATCAACATATACTTTATTAAATTATACTACTTCCAAGTTCTGAAAGTTATTTTTAATAATAGAGTCTCTACTATACAAATCTAACTGGTTATGTCTAGGAAAATTTAGCCATCTTGTCTTTTTGTAAATAATTGTGAATAAAAATTCATTTTATAAAATGTAAATAATACCAATGAGTATTATAAAGTACCAAACAAAAAAAAGACATGCAAAATCTTTTATACTTTATTTTAAAATAATTTTTGAGTACGTACTATGTCTGCCAGAAAATGTGCAAGATTCTGTGGAAATTGATCAATAGTAGATATACGTCCTGCCCTCCTTGAGGTTATGATATCATAGAGAAGATAAATGTTAAGATACTATTAGGCATATGTTGAATGCTAGCTAAAAAAGTGGCGGGTGCTATAGAAACTGCATTAGTCAAAGTTCTACAGAAAAACAGAACATACACACACATAAAGAAATTTAATTTAAAGGATTGGCTCACACAATTATAGGGACTTCGGAAAGTCTCAATCTGTAAGCAAGCCAGCAGGCTGGCAACTCCGGCAGGGGAATGCTACAGTATTGAGGAAGAATTTCTTTTCTGAGAAATCTTAGATTTTGCTCTCAATGCCTTTCAACTGATTGGTCGAAGCTCATCCACATCATCAAGGACAATCTCCTTTACTTAAAGTCAGTTGATTGTAGATGTTAGCCACACATACAAAATAGCTTCAAGCATCACCTAGATTTGTGTTTGATTAAATAGCTGGGTACTAACCTAGCCAGATTGATACATAAAACTAACTATCACAGCAATATATAAGGGGGCATATATAAAACAGTTAATCAATCAAACTGGGAAGCTCAAGATAGGTTTTATTTAAAAATCGAATTGAATTTAACTGAGACTTGAAATAAAAATAGAGTTAGGTAAAAATTAAGGGTAAATTATAGGGTAAGGTAGGATCAAGAAGACAAAAAATCTTATATAGAAATATTCAAACATGAAAAGAATAGTGCTGATTATTTTGTTTCTTTCTTTTATATAGGAAGCACAAAAAAAGGAAGGAGTCAAGGATGATTTTTTGATTCCACAGAGTGAGTTATAGAACCACAAAAAGGAAAATAGTAGAGAAAAATCGTAGTTTCAGTTTGGGGTCTGTTAACTTTGAAATACCTATGAGCCCTCCACACAGAGATATCTAGTAAGAATATAAGAATATGGGCCTAGAGAGATTAGGTTTGGTGTTGTTAACTCAAGTAATCTAAATCTTGGGAATAGATGAAATCACCTGGGGAAGTGTAGGGTGAAGAGACAGGTATTTAGTCAGTGACCTGTGGCACTTAATTCACCAAGATTTAATAGGAAAATAACCCAAAAAAGGAGATTGAGAGAGCAGCCAAATACATAGGTAATGTGGAGTGTGATATCAGGGAAACCAAGAAAAGGGCTTGTTGTAAGAAAAGTGTTGTGATCAAGAATGTTACGTCCTGCTGAGATGTCAAGCAAGACAAGGATAAAGAGGAATCCATTGGACTTTCTGACATGGAATTCATTGCAGAAGCCCAATTTGAGGTAAGTGAGGAAAAACTGGACTTGAGGAAATAGAAACAGCATGTGTGAAAATAAGAGTGGAAAAAGTGGAAAAGGCCTAAGAGTGGAAAAAGACCTAGTGTGCCAAAAATGAAGGTCAAGGTGGGCAGGTGGAGTCAGGTAGTTTTTAGGCCATTTATTTGTAAACAGTTATTTTATCTATGTGTCTATCTGTCTGTCTGTCTGTCTATCTATCTATCTGTCTATCTATCTATCTATCTATCTATCTATCTATCTATCCCTCCATCCATCCATCCATTCAACTGTCATCTATTTAATCTATTTTTCTTTGGGGTTAAATTATGAAAGAGCAAGGAGAGAAGAGATTTAAAAACTATAAAGACAGGGAATAATTGATAACATAACATCCCTGAGAAAATTGAAGAGGATGATATACAAAAACAAAATCATTTAGTTTTGGATGGAGGGTAGAGGTAGAGGGGTCTGTCATTGTATTAGAAGGAGAGGAGGAAAAAGAGGTCAAAGTGAAGGGAAAGGTAGCAAGATCCGACATTTCAGGAAAATGGAAAGTGTTTAAAGATCTACAGTGAGAAATTGGAGATGAACTCACTGGGTAACAGTAAACATAGGGCAATTTTGAACACTCAGTGGAACTTGGAGACCACTGAAGAAATTTATCTTCTGTTATGTAATATATTTTTCTCAGTGGAATTGAGTAGCTTATATATACTCATGGAATAAATGGCTATATTTTTTCCAGATTGTTTAGATGAGTGTGACAACAGGATAACAAAGCTGAGGAATTTAGGTTACTGGAAAAAAAGGGCAGTTTAAAGTGTTCTGTGCATCTGGGTGTGGTGGCTCATGCCTGTAAACCCAGCACTTTGTGGGCCTGAGGAGAGAAGATCACTTGAACCCAGCAGTTCGAGACCAGCTGGGCAACATGGAGAAATCGTGTCTCTATAAAAATATTAGCCAGGCATGGTAACACACTTGCATTCCCAGCTATTTGGGAGGCTGAGGCAGGATGATTGATTGAGCCCAGGAGTTTGAGGCTGCAGTGAGCTATGATCATGCCACCACTGCACTCCAACCTAGGTGACAAAGAGACATCCTGTTTCTTAAAAGAAAAAAAATGGTCTGTGGAATATGGATTTAGAATAGAGGTAAGTGACATTAGAAAATAGAGGAGGCATAGGGAAGAGAAAAATGTCTGGTGGACAGAAATTTCATTGTTTAAAAAAAAAAAACAACTGTAGTGGGATAAACCAAATAGATAAGTAAGAGGACAGAATTTGTAGTTGTGCAGTAGAATGACTTACTGAAGAGTGGGGGAATAGTGGAATAGTGGAATAGTGGAATGGAGGAAAATTTTGCAGAAGACAAAGAAGTTAAGCCTTTAACTAGCTGTCCATGTGTACATGTAATTGTCATGGTATCAAATAAAAAATTGGAGTGGAAAACATGATGACACAGGTACTAATGACTTAAATGAGTGAGGAAGTAACCAGGCAAGTAGGCAGTGACAGTAATGAAGTGACAAAGGAATTTATAAAGCCATATGATGTGAACTAAATAGGAGAGGGATTTATTATTTTTTTTTTACAAGAGAGGCTATAATAGGAAATAAATAGAATGTAGTATATACCTATTTATTAGTGGCTATGTTATGTTATGTTATGTTATGTTATGTTATGTTATGTTATGTTATGAGTCTGAGTCTTCTGTGAACCAGATGCCAAGATGGAATTAGAAGAGCCAAGATTTATTGGGAACTATCTATGGGGGATAAAGAAGAAGGGGAGGAAGCAGAAGTAGGCAAAGAATGCCTTCAGACAGCAATTCAGCCCTGACATGTGTGAAAGGAGATAAGGAAGGAAGGGATATTTGGTAGGAAACTCATGACTACGTGGGCATTCTGCAAAAGCCTCAGCCAGACCAATGTGGAGTCCCCAGGCAAATGTTTCTCCTTGGAAAAATCCCACATCAGGCAGGCATGGCCCAGATTTATAGACCTCACCATATTTAGTCATTGGCTGTGAGCAGAGCATAGGATGTGTGGCTTTGGAGTAAAAGCCATTGTGGACCCCAAGGTGCTGGAGGCTGTCGGCCAACTCTGCTTCCACGGAGGATTTTCTGGAAGGGAGATTTTAGTGGAAGACTTCTAAAACCTGCGTGCTTCATCTTCTCAGGCATCCCACCTCTTCCACACAATCCTCTAAGCCTTTTTTGACCGCACTTATTTTATTTGGTTTGTTTTGCTTTCTTTCCTAGAAATACTCTATTTAGAAAATGACACCTACTAAATAAAGCTCCTCGAGAAACTTTCCTGGAGGTGGACTATATGACAAACATACTTGAAATGGACTGAACAAAGTTATTCTTGTGAGTTAGATGCAGCAATCCATATGCTTACTTGTAGAAGAAAAAAAGTGGTTTAAATTATAATCTGGATGTAAAAAATCTTAAAATCATGATGGTTACATTCCTGCCTGATAGGAGGTTTTTTTCTGAGCCCCACATATTTCTATAGTCAGAGACTAAGTCCATAAGCCTAGCTTCCAGGTGGCTTCTGATCTTCATGCAGAGTATGGCTTGGATATCAGTGTGTTATGGATCAAATTTGATGGGTTAAAAGTCTGTATATCACAGGTGTTTCAAGATTAAAGGCAGGGGAGTGGTCTCTTCATCAGGGAACTGAGAGTTGTTATATGCACTTAATTATACATTTCTATATGTAATTATAAAGAGTTTTAAGAATAGTATATGCACATCTCTGCCATGGATGATCTGGAACTTTAAAAATGGCATTTGTTATGAAATGACTAAATATAGTAATATAATTGCTATTGAGTTGTCCTTTTCTTGACTGTCAGGCAGTAACCTCATCATATCATTTAATTCTGATTGGCAGCTGTTTGGTACTATTCATCTTACTTTTTTCTCCTTGAACATTACTCACTTTGTAATCATTGTATCTTTAATATCTTGTGTCATACATTTGAAGCAATCTGGCAGTTTCTGACAGAAAGAAGTTAGAAAATAAAAGCCAACTTCCCTGTGTTTTTTTCTGGTAGAATTGCTGATATACCTACAACCATAGAAATATTATGAAAAAGTAGTTGAATTAAACAATGTCAGTGGGTTATAAATAATAATTGGCTCACTTTTATAAAAGCTATGTATATAATATTTAGAATTATTTGCTAATGATCAGTTTTCTATTCAATAGAAAAGCTGTATTTATTTACTAACAATAAATAAATGACAATTATTTTGCAGCATAAGCTGCTGTCTCTAAATCTCCCCTCTCCCCCAGTTTCTAATACTACTTAATGGCAGACAAATGGATATATTTCTCAACTGCTATTTTATTCCTATCTCCATATGTTATCCTAATCATGAGCCACAATACCCCACTTTCCATGGTCAGTTTTGGATAACATATCTTATTTTCAACCAATTAGTGTATCCAGTTATCATATAAACCGTTTTTTGCATAGTAAAAAACAAACAGGAACAAGCCAGTTTTATGCTCCCAAATTCAGTTAATATGATAGCAAACAAAGGGTAAGAGAAAGCAAGAAAGTTTTAGGACTGAAAGATTGTTGGAAAAATAGGAAGTAGTAGTCAGAGAGTGGACTACAGGAAACTATTATGGAAGAGTTGCAGTTTTTAGTAATGGCAATGCTCAGGTTATGACCTGATAACATGAGATTTTAAAGCATGTTAGAGTTTAGAGATGAACAGAGGAAAATGGTGTGAAAAGGGCAATGATAGAAAAAGAGAGTCAATATCCCATGATATTGAAACAAATAGCTACCGCTGCAAAGGATGGTGGAGGAAGCACCACCTTCAGGACTTATCTGTTAAAGGTGGAAGGTGAGTAGAATGTTCACAGAAGAGATTGAGCATGAAAGGACATTTGCTGAATGCCAGAGGGCACCCTGGAAAACTTGTGAGTGTTGGAGTATAAGCAGAGGTGGGTAAGAAGAAATGGCTCCCTCTTAATCCCTCTTGATGGAGGTGAGGTTGTCCAGGGTTCACTTTGGATTGCTGTGGGAGGAATGTGCAAGAGCTCTAACTTGGTAGGTAAAGTCTATTGGTGAAGCTAGTTCTTCTAGCATGCACACCCCCTTCATCTTGGTGATAGAGGGACACGAAAAAGTGTAATTTGTCTAAGTTAGACATTTTCTATATGTTAAGCCCATAAATATTTTACCTTCTCTTTATTCACTCATCAAATATTCATTGAGTTGCTGCTCAGCATCAGGTGCAGCAGCGAGCGCTTAGTCTCTGTCCTCCTGCTGCAGCAGAGAGTACGGTATGGGAAAGAGACAGAGCCAGTTATTTCACAAGCAAGAACCAATTAAAGCTGTGGCGATTTCTGTGGTGGAGAAGTGCATTTGGCAGGAAAGTATGTAACTGGAGGCTTAGATTTGCTTCAGTTGTCAGAGGGGCTTCTTTGAAGGAGTGACATTTAACATTTTTTCGAAAGGATGCTGGTGAGCGGGTGAGGAAACATGTCAGACAGAAGGAAATGAATGGATAAGGATCTGAAGCCTGCATTCTACATAGTGCTCTTCCACTCCCTGTTATATCCCATACCCTCCCAAAACACAGAGCTTCTGAGGCTGTTCAAAGAGCAAATATTTTTGGAAATCTTTAAAGATAATTTGAAAAGTACAAATGATTCTTTCCAGTGGGATGAAGGAAGAATGTTTTACCATTTTACTTATCCAACTGCTTTTCTTGAGTCTGAGAGAAGAGGGAGAGCTCTTTTTTGAGGGAAGCAATATTTTAGAGATCTATCAGTAGAATTGGAGTTTCTTAGATTTATAAAGTATTTTTTGTTAGTGTCAGAAGAATTTGAAAAGCAGGGGAGGAATATAAGAGCAGTATTATGGCTAACTTAAGACTTTTTACAACCTTTGCTCTTATCTCTATAATAAATTGTACAACCAACAATCTTTAAACTATTAGTAAGTCAGTAGTATTTCCTATTTCATTACTATGTGCCACCAAACTATGCACATTTCTTTGGTCAGAACTTTTTAAGGATATGATGTGTATACTTGTATAATATTAATATTGTATAAAATGCCTCATTTGGATTTCTAAATATCTAATAAGATCTTTTCAAGTTTCTAATACAGCTTAATCATGGTTTTATGAAACAGTTATAATGCCACGTGGAGTCATTTAAAAGATTTGTATTAGTTATAAGAAAATAAACAGAGCATATAGTAAATAATAAAAATTACAGTTCTTAAAAGTATAAGCACTGAAGTAACAAATTAACCATTACCCTCCCATTTTTTCCTTTTTTTTTTTTTTTTTTTAGAACAGGCAACTTAGATTAGTTTCTGATCAGTCAACTATCTTTTCCTTTTTGTTTTCTTGGATCCCTACTTGGGGAGCTTTTTATAAGGCTTATTCCCAGGCAACAGAATTCCACTTAATCTGTTATGTGAAACAGTGATCCAAGTTCCATTTTGCCACCTTGCCTGGAACACATGTGTTCCATTAACCACATTAGCTGAATTCCCAGCCATGCCTGCCCAGAAGCAGACCCAAGCAGGTTGATGACATCATCCCACTCACTCCTTCTATTTTGTTTCAAGTTTATAAATATATTTATCTTTTTTGGGCATGAAGGACTTAAATTTTTCTCTTTGTATAATACTATTTTAACAAAAATATTCTGATATGCTTCTTAGTTTATGAATTGATCTAAATGAAATCATGATATAAGGCAGTTTTACATTTTAGATGCCTGGGATAAACCAGCTGAGATCCTTCACTTGGAGGTACAGGGATGTGGCAATTTAAAAGGTAATACAGTGCATTGATTGTATCATCTTCATCATTCAGCCCAAAGATCAACTGAGCATCCTCACTATCCAGAGTCTACTAAACACTAATAGTCAAGTTAAAGAGATAAATTATCTTTTAATTCAAAGATTTTACAATTTAGTAAAGGTTTCAGCTATGTAATACAGTGGTATTAGGAAAAAAGAAAGTTAGTACAACGATGACGCACTTTTTCTAGGAATTCAAAAAATGATGGTTAAATACAAAATGGGAAATCAAGAAAGGAGGGAGATGGGGACAGAATTACAGAGCATCTATTATTTGAACAAGGCCTTGCATGAGAGAAAAGTTTTTAAGGGAAGAAAAAATGGAAAAGAAAGTGCTTTCTCTTCCTCTGAGATAAAATGGGCAAAGGAGAAGAAAGTGGAGGTAAAAAAAAAGTATATTTCAAGTTGAAGATGAGAAAGTACAATTCTCTTGGATGGCCTTGATTTTCTTAGTTGAGCAGATGAAAGATAGAAGTGCATGGTTAGGCAAAATGAGAAAGAAAATCAAAGGTAGAATAATTAGATGGATGCATAGCTGGTTAGATAGATGGGAGGAAAAATATAGAAAATATAAAAAACAAACACTTTTTGAATAATTAGTCCCTGCCAGGCACTATATTTTCACATTCGCTATTTGAAGCCAAATATGAAGAACACAGTGATACTAGAATCTTACAATTTGTGGTGGAGCTAGGGAAATCCACTTATATCAATTTGTCATCAAACTTCAGCAAATAGAATTGGTGGGTGGTCTTTTTAATCCTTAACTTTTGTGGTTGCAGATATCTTGAGTATAGTCTTTTCCTTTTAGAAGGCAAATACTGTAATTTTCATGTCTGTCTCCCATGTCTTTCTCTAATTACTTCATTACCTGAATGGTCTCTTCAGAAATATAATTTTCTGGTAAAAATAAAATTATATGGAGTTAAGTGACAACTCTGTGCTTTTTGTATATGCAGCCACTCTATCATGCAGATATGGTAGTTAAGTTGCTCAGTTTTAATTTGGGGCAATAGACTGAGCAGCCATTTAAGAAGCTGAAGAGTAGCTTCTCTTTTTCGGTTTTGTGTGAATCGTGGGTGTAATTTAAAAGGCAAAAATGGAGAAAGCCTTTCTGGTCCTGGATAGTGAAGCTTACAGGAATAAGAAGAGAAAAATTGAATTTAAAAACAACAACAACAAAACATCTGTTTCCTCAGAATTAGCTGCTACTACCCCCTTCTTCTTTTTTTTTTTTTCAATGTGTACGAGAATCCAGAATTTCTTCAGTGCCACAACTGAAACAAAAGGTGTCTGGATTAGACATAAGTGTAGACTACAGCAAAATGCTTCAAAAGATCCAAGTGGCACCACTTACATAAGCCCTCAGGTACCCGTTACCTTACAGGATGAATGGCATCTCATTGCAGCATGTAAGAACTTAGAGACAGCATGGGAGCCAAACATGGTTTGGCTCCTCTCTTTACTTCCACAAAGGTAAATCAGCTTCTTTCTATACTCTGATTCTATATTTGGAAAAAGGAGGAACAGGGAAGTTCCCTTAGAGGGGAAAAACATGCCTAAAAGATGGAATCCATATATTCATTTTTCCTAATTTTCACCTGCTATGAATGAAGTAATGTCTTTATTTTAGCAAAATTATCCATTTGGACAATAAATGGCCACCTTATTATCAACGAGCTTGAACTTTCAATTGATTTAATATGTACAGTAAACTGACAGTTTTAAATTGGAAGATAATAAACTTGGCAAGTCTACTCAGCAATTTGCCTTTGGTTGGTTTTCTATCCCTACTCCCAAATTCCCTACACATGCCCCATTATCATTGGAAATAAAAATTTCCAGAGCAAAATGAAGTTAGTTAGAGAAAATGATGGTTGTTTTTGCATGTTAGTTTAAGCATTTAATCTTAATTCTGCCATACCAATCTTGAGTAGACAGGTCTGTGTGTAATACAAGCAGAGTATTGCCACAATGTCTCTAATCACCGGTTTTTTATTCACATTGGTGAATGTCATCAACTTTTAGATCATCCACCAAAAATCCTTAGTGTAACTGCAAACCTAGAGTTTTTCTCTATTTTACAAACACACTAATACATGTCCTCATGTTTTATTGAATTTCTAATGTTAAATGACCCATTGGCATATATTATTATCTGGGATAGAAAATATATAACTCAATGATAAAAATATATTTTAATGGCAGATTTACTTGGTATTCCTCTTACATTTCATACAAGGTATGCACAAAACAGAAATTTTAACTTTTCTCACCTGAAATATCTACAATTTCTTATCAATCTCAAAGAAAATACATTATGTTTGAATAGGGTTGTCCTAGGAATGTACAGAAACCATGTATTTCTAATCCCTTAAACTAGGTTTGTTGACTTTTTGGAAACCTTAGACTTCCAATACTTAAAATTCATACACTGGTCTTTACTTTTAGAAAACAAATTTGAGAATCACCATATATATATTTTTGAAAATTTTGGAAATATGTTTGCTTATAGCAAGGTAGGAAAATAGATTGCTTATAGCATAAACATCGTTGACATTTATTTTGAAGAAAAAAAGCAAACTAAGTAATTTCACAGACAGAACAAAGCCAGGCTTTCAAAAAAACTTATGTGCTCTACATATACTACAGCTACATGAAAGTAACTTGTAATAAGTTTTAATATTCACATGTCAAATGGATAAAATAATTAAAAATTCTCAAAATATTAAATTATTAATTTATGAATTACCTTATAAGTGCTTATTTAATGGGAAAAGACCAGCACTTTGAACCTAGAGCTTTGGCCCATGTTCAATTTAAATGATAACCTGTGATTCTAAACTAGAGGGTTTAACATCCCCAGTAGAAAGGTCAATGGGAAATGTAGGAAATGAGATTTTTTTTCAGTCACCCTAAGGAATTCTTAACTACCTTGCTTGGGTATAAGATAAGTGTCTGACAAGGAAAGAATTGTCCCCTCAAAAAATCCATCTTTATTAGCATCCCCGTTGACTGGAACTTAATTAAATTTATTTATACTTGCTGGACACAACTGAACATCTAAGATTCCTTCCAGCTCTGAAATACTCCGCAACAGTTACTTAGGAAGAATTAAACTGATGCAGTTACTCTAGTAGAATCAGATATACTTGTGGTTTATATGTGCAGGAATACACATTAAAACACACACACACACACACACACACACACACACACACACACACCCTTCAACTTTAACAGCATCTTTTCTGTAAAGGAAGTCAGTAAAAGGCTGCTCTATTTCAGAATCAATCTAAAGAGAGTTATGCAAGTAAAAATGGTCTTTTCATAACATTTTTTCAGGAAGATGATCCCTATATCGGACCCCAATAATGAAATTAAACTACATTTTAGTACAGCAATTACAAAACATCTTTTTTCTTTATAGAAGCAATGCATGCTTTTTAAAATAAAATAGTAATACATAGATAGCCAATATATACAGTGAATGTAAGTTGAGTTCTTCAATGCCCCATGATCTGCTCCTTCTTCACATCTTATCTTCCTCTCTGGTGGAACCCCAGAGACTTCTTTGTTAAACCCAAGGCTTCACATAACACAGTGGAAAACTTATTGCTATAAATTAGACATAACTAACCTCGGTTAATAGAGAATAAGCAATTGAAGTAGATTGTGCCAGTCCTGGACAATCAGTAGTGGTAGAATTGAAGTAAATTTAAAACTTCATACCATTCCCTCAAGGATTAAAATTCAATGAAAAAAAAGTAGGCCAAAGAAAACACTTCTATAAATTATATTTTGTCCTTGAGGGGTATTTTTGTATTGTATTCTAGGCTACATGCTGTTACATCATTAAAGGAAACTTTGTTTATTCTTTCTAACTAGAACATTTATCCCAGAAGCCAGCAAGCACCTCAATATTAGGTCTTATAATATGATAAAGTTTCACCTCCTTTTATCAATGTAGAGAAGTAGTTTCTTATCTTCCCTGGTGACATTCTGGCTTTTGGCATCCTTCTTGAATATAGGGTATAAAGTCTCCTTTTGATTTGAAGAACTTGTGCCTTCTGATATATCCCTGCAAGTTTGGGACCATATTTGGTATGCATTGTGTGTAAGCTTTGCTTAGTGAAGCACAGTTTGTCCATAAACGAGGCTCATCCTTACCAGACAAACTCTGGGATTATAAATACACATAATACTCTTAGCCCTTAGTAATAGAGGTCAAAAGATAATCACTGGGTGGGATAAAATGTGAAGGTATAATCCAGAATAGTCTTAAAAGAAGGTTCTTAGAATAGTTGCAGATAATATACATTGTAGTAGAAGGGTGTGGAAAATAAAATTAAGAAAGAAAGTAATAATAAAATAGAGAAAATGGTGAATGGAAGTCAATGATAAGGTAAACATATCTGGAAATTAATTCATGTCAAATTTTGTGTATATATAATATTTTCCCCTCATTACAAAATTATGCCATATACCTTTCTAAAAAGAGAAAATAATATAATGTAATATATTGTAAAACTCATTGCATATTTTGTCCTGATGCTATTAAAAAGTATTTCCCACCTAAAGTTTATGCCACATGCATTTTATACTATGAGAAACTGCATTTGAATATAAATTTATGCACTTTTATCTCAATGTCTGGATTTCAACCTCTTGCAAATTAGCAATTAAATTGAACTAGATGCACTCGTGATGTGATTTAAATGCCATTTGACTCTTTCAGAGCACTCATAAATATGATTTTATTTTCATGGATTATAATGATAAATCCCCCAAATGTAGACTTATTTTTTATTTCTTCAAGTAACAAAGGAATATAGAATTTAGAATTATGAATAATGGAGATTTATTCTTAAAGTATTCTTTTAATTTTACATTCATTATATTTTGTGTATGTGAGAGAGTTATACTTCACACTCAGAAAAAGTGATATAGCTACTAGTTAATGTGGTAGTGTGATTTTACTAGTTACTTTACCTGAGCTAGCCAAACATTACTCAGTTTTCATATTTTCTTCTGCATAGTTTGAACGTGACAGCTCTCTTTTTTAATTGCATTAGCTTTGACAGTCATAAGGAGATGAAAGCATTTTAAATGATACCATAATGAAAAATACAGAGGTTTGTTTGCTTTTTCTATTAGGTATGGTTGAGCATAAAAACTCATATTTTCAGTTTTGTTTTGATGCATTGGTACTTCACTTCCTTGCATGAACTGACGGAACTGTGGAAGAGTATTATGTCTACACCTGATTATGAGTATCGGCACCAGACAATTAGTAAAGCTTCATTCTATTACAGTTCATGCCTGAAACAGTCCCCAGCACTCACTGGTTGACTAAGTGAACCTTTCAAAAACAGAAGTTCATTACAAAGATGAAAAACATTTAAAAGCTAATCTTAGTTTTAAAACTGGCCGGGGACAGTGGTTCATGTCTGTAATCCCACTACTTTGAGAGGCAAAGCCAGGAGGATTGCTTGAGGCTAGGTGTTCAAGATCAGCCTTGACAAAACAGTGAGACCCCAGCTATATTAAAAAATAAAATAAAATTAGCTGAGTCTGGTGGCACGCAACTGTAGACTTAGCTACTTAGGAGGCTAAGGCAGGAGGATTGCTTGGGCCCAGGAGTTCAAATTTGCAATGAGCTATGATCATATGATCAATCCACGGCACTTCAGCCTGGGTGACAGAGAAAGGCATTGTCTCTGAAATAAATAAATAAAAATAAAAAAGAACCTTAGTCTACATATCCCTACAAGAGATGAATATTATCATTCCCTTTATACTAATTTTTGGGAACAATTTTTTGTGTGGACGGCATTGGTGAAAAAACACTTGTGGCTACATTTTACATTGGTTCTTTAGAATCATAGCAAATAAATTCTAATAGTATGCAAACAAAACGAAAACAAAGAAGTAGTAATCCTTTATTAATCACATAGTTTTGCTTTAGTAATTTCTATCATGTTTTATTTGCAAGCATAATGCAGTTATATCTTTGATCTTTTTAATAGTAAGTTCGCTTTCTGTAAAAGTAATGAAAATTTAACTGCCTTTTCAATTCTTATTAGGTGTATGATATTTAATTTAAACATATAGGATTAATTAAATATATACTAAGCCTATTAATGACATCCTATTAAACACTATTAGCTTCCTGTATTACAATTAATTAGATGTATACTAATTATTAAGACAATAATATATAAGTATATAGTTATATTTAATTATATTAATCAATTTATGGAAATTTAAATTTATGAATTTATATTTTAATATCTTCATTTTTTAAACTAGTAATTATAGATTTGTAACATTTGTAATATGTGTAGGTAATCAACATAAATACAATTTCTATAACTTTTCTCTGTTTCTAACAGATTTAAATTTTTTCATTTGATTTACATTCATTTTTCTGAAATAGTAGCATTAATTTCTCTTTTTTCCTGAGCTTAGACTCCTCAATACCCCTATTTATAGATTCCAAGTCCATAACGTGTTACCTTGGAAACTATTTAAAGAGCATCGTCTCTTTACTATTTGTTTTTATCGGATCATAAAACTGCCTTTTTTCTCCTTCAGCTACTGCTTCAAATAACTCAGTACTGTGAGAACTGATAAGCTCAGGGCTTATGCCAGTATTATAGTGTGTGTGTGTGTGTGTGTGTGTGTGTGTGTGTGTGTGTGTGCGCGCGCGCGCGCGCGCGCGCGTGCGCGCACATGCAAGAGCATTCTCATGAGTATGTGTAGATATATGTGTGTTTATGTTTTGTGAGTGACTACTAAAAATTAATCATTATGTCTTATACATTTCCTCACACCATTATGATTTTGGGGGACTACCTGTGTGTTGAAAAACTGGTTTTTGAAATGACTTCTTGTATGAATAGTCTAATATCTGAATCTGTAGTATGTAGTATTTTACCAGTACAAGATATATAGCATTGTAATACTTTATCTCAGGCAGTCTGAGGTTATTTTTAGCTCTAATTTTCTCTATAAAAGGCAGCACAATACAGTGACAAAGAATATTAGCTCTGGGGCTGCACTGCCTAAATTGAATTCTGGTTCACCACATACTAGTTGTTTGACCTTGGACAAGCTACTTAATGCTCTGTGACTTATCTGTAAAATGGGGTTAATAAAAGTGCTTGCCTCATAGGCTTATCAGTCAATTCTTGTAAGTACCTAGAATACGTGGTTAATGGATGCCAGGGGTCTAACCAACTGGCTTGAAAAAGATTGATCTTAAACTTTAATTAATGCCTGTGGATATACACTCCTGATGATCTAAAGAGAAATTTAATTTACATCAACAAATTCACAGTCTGGGTGTTAAATGTGAATAAAATCAAATAGTTAACTGCATAAATACTATAGATTTCAAGATTTATTTTTCAGTCCAAATTTTGAAGTCAAAGTATAATGAATTTATACCAGACCCTCAGGAAGTTATTAGCATAGTGTCTGGCATATGATAAAGTCTCAATAAAGAGTGAAATTAATAATCATTGTGTGATTGAGACTCACTAGCACTAGTAATTAGGATGATAATATCACATGGAGGAAAACTATCAGAGTCCATACTTGTTATTTTTGTCAATCTTGTTCTATTATGAATCAGTAAGAGCAACTTATGGAATGACCATTCATGCTTTAGCATGTGCATCTTAACATCTATAGAATCTTTCCATGATATGTTTTGTTGTAAATAAATATTTATTGACATAATTTATTATTTACTTGTAATAAGGCATTTAGTATGCATATTTACTATTGAAATGAAGCAACATTAGGGTTTTAAAATGTTCCTTTATACCAGACCCTCAGGAGGTTATTAATTATTTTTGGATATCCTTGCAAATAGTCCACTTCACAGTAATTCACACTGGTTTTGATATTTTAAGATTCTTACTGTACGAAAGGTATTTATTAATTAAGTTAGAGTCTTTGAGTATCTCATCTGCATTATGGATTCAGATATGCTTGCCCGGATAAAGCATTAGATTTTTAAATTCTTCATGTCACTTAGGACATTTTTACTTGATATCACTTTTTAAGGTGAATTCATTTGTAGGAAAAAAAGCAAATGAAAAGCAGAAAAATTAGTTAGTTAATTAGCTTGGGATTAGCCATGGATTTTGTCCATATGAGAAAATTCAGTGACCTTAAGTAATGATTTATTTTATAAGAACTCACAGACCTTTATTTATTACTATGTTACATTGTAAAAATGCTTCACCTGAGCCTTGGTTTCTTCAATACACCATGGAGCTAAAAAGTTTTATTTTGCAGGATTCTGTATATATTGCAGTTTTATTATAAAGCACACTTAAAGAAGGCTAATAAACTCCTCATTGATATGCAATAAATATTAGTTTCTCTATTTCCTTTGTGGAAACCATGAAATTATATATATATATAATTTTTGAACACTTTTATCAAATTAATTTTTAAAAGCACTCATTTACTAAATATGACTACAGTGGAAAGAAGGACTTAATAGTAATTTAGATTATGCTTCATCAATCATTAGAGGAAATGTGAGATTGGATCAAAGAAACAAGTCATCTTCCAAGAATAGTTGCTCTGAAACTGTCATTTTTTATTTCAGTGTGAATATTACATTGAGTAATTGCAGTATATTTTGTTCTGTGTGGCCCCTAACATTTGCATTCCCTCTTATTGGGAGGAAAGATTTATTGCTGCCACCCTAATAGTACAGTGAGTCTTTATTCAGTGAGTGTTCACTGTACACCAGGCACTGTGTTAGCCACTTTACAGGCATTTTTTCTTACAATTCTTACAACCAACTTGCAATGTGAGCATTCCTATTATCCACATTCACATTTAAGCATAAAGAAGTTAAGGTTTATGGGATGTAAAGACTTGCCCAAAGTCATACAGATTTAAAATGCCAGACCCAGTATTTGAACTCAGGCCTTATTTCAGAGCCTCTAGTCCATGCCTCTATGTACTATATCTCTGTTCATTTTCTCACTCCAATTTCCACTTAATATTTTGTTCTTTGAAACTAATGAATGAACCTCATCACTTGTAACTGCACACTTTGAAGCCTGAATATCTCTGGGGCAGGAAATGAAAACTTAGCATGAGAGAGACAGAACATGCTATGAAAATGTAAGTCTGTGTGTCATGTCAGGCAACTTCATGAGCAGCAATTCCTTCAAAATTCTTATTCTAATTTCATTAAGGGAAGTGAAAGGGAGGATTTTGAGGGTGCTTCTAGTTTTCAGCTGGTGCCTTAGTGTCTTGTTTTGGAAATCACTTTCTTATGTCTAAGGAAGTAAATAATGAAAAATTACAATGGACATAAATAATAAGTTAATAGGATCATTGTGGGGATACTTATTTCATTGTCATTAATTTCTTAATTTTTTTGACCTTCCTTAGAGACTATGTCATAAAAAGGAACATTTTAAAACCCTAATGTTGCTTCATTTCAATAGTAAAGGTGCATACTAAATGCCTTATTACAAGTAAATAATAAATTACATCAATAAATATTTATTTACCACAAAAGATATCATGGAAAGATTCTATAGATGTAAGATGCACATGCTAAAGCATGAATGGTCATTTTCCATAAGCTGCTCTTACTGATTCATAATAGAACAAGCTGGACAAAAATAACAAGTATGGATTCTGATAGTTTTCCTCCATGTGATACTATCATCCCAGTTTCTAATGCTAGTGAGTCTCAATCACACAATGATTATTAATTTCACTCTTTATTGAGACTTTATCGTATGCCAGACACTATGATAAATAGCTTACACATAAATTATTTTTTTCAGCTCTTCATTCCCATTTCAGAAGTGAGGAAATTTAAGCTTGAAGAAGTTTAGTAACTTGTTCAGTGACAGGCAAGTAATAGTATGAAGTTGGAATGTCTGACTCCAAAGCCTAGTATCTTATTTGCTATGTTTTTTTTTTTACAATTTGTTGCATATTTTCTTTTGTTTTGTAAATAATAATATTGAAAAATATGAAACACAAATAAATAGAAGTGTTTGTTGTATAGCTTTTTATAAGACTAGGTTTTTATGTTAGCAAAATAAATATAATATTAAAAAGAAAATATTTTACACCTTTAATGTACCAATGGAAAATTCTTTCAAAAAAATTCAGAAAATTATAGCCAATTGCCCCCTAATTATCTGTGGTGTTTAATTCAATGCCTAATCTATTATCTGTGAAATAGAAAAAACAAAAATACTTTCATATTCATAATTAGACTTTAGTACTCAGTAGTAAGAAAAAAGAAAATATTGCATATATGATTCTGTTGTTGTTGGTAGCAGCATGCAAATTTCTGCATACCTTGTTTATAACTGACATTAAAAGTTCTATGTTTTCCTCTTGCTTCTTTAGCAACCATATCAACATGCTTTTGGGGAATAAGAAATGCCAAGTTATATCATGTATGACAGAGTTTTCCTGGAAATATTTGTACATGTGAAGCATACTATATATGTCATGGGGAAAAAGAGGATATATGTAAATGTATAGCTTTACGTTTCTGGTACTGAGCTTGGAAAAATGGTAGAAGTTTTCAGGGATGCCATTTAGTGTTGGATTGCTGCACAGTGTATTTGCATTATTTGCAATAACTGAAGTATTTAGTATTTGTGCAGGCATCCTTGTATTTAATATTGTTAATATTTATGTTAATTAAGAGAGAACTATAAAGAAGCAGATCAGTCAGTTGCAGAAATCATCTGTAAACAGCTTTTCTACAAAGGTTCAGGATGTTGCTCCCAAGGAAAGACACCGTTACATGACCTCTGATTAATCTCTTCCCTCTTATTTGATTTCTTTGAATAAATAGATTGCTCTACGTTCTCAAAGTAAAAAGGGTGATATATTCTAATATTGCTGTACCATTTTAAATTGCATAGATAAAAGCCTATTTAGTGGGGCATAAGATCACCATAAGCCTCTTGGCAGTTTTCAGCGAATTCATACATATCAAAAGGGACTCAAAGAAAAATAACAAAGAGCAAAAATAATGAGCCCGTCAAAGCAAATGCTTAATGCAGCTCCACTTTGGTATTAATCAGACTGTATGTGGGTGAGGGTCAAACCAACCGAGGTCAATAGAGAGGATTTTGGTAAAGACGAAAAAAGAACTAAGCTAGTGATTTCAGACAGATTGAATTTTTTTTAAAGTGAAATAGGAAGGTCACAAAATCAGATTCAGTTTGCAGAAGCACAGTGGGCAAGTTTTAATGACTTCTCAGTAGAGCTTTTTAAGAGAGGCACTTGAGTTTGAACTATCTAAACTAAACTTTTAAAAAATCAACAGGAAAAGGGAAGGAATATTTGTAAAGATTAAATAAACTTATAAAACTTGCTTTTATTGAAGAATTTCACTACTTTGGAAGATTAAAGTAGCTTCCTTAAAAAGGAGATTTTAAATGTGTGCAGATTTTATTTAACACATAATTTAGATATTGCTTTATGTCACAGAAGAGCAGTATGTGCATATGTGTGCACATATAATTGTAAAGATGTCTTTATAAGATACTTTCCATAATTAAATATAGGTGATTTGAATATTTATAAGACTTTAAAAATGTTTCTGTAAATTGTATATTCTGAGCTTGCTAAATCCCTCTTTGACAAATCCTGAATGGGAGAGAGCCAATAACATTCTTTTCCTCTATCAAACCATTCTTACTCTACATATTCTTCTTCTGCTTTCTAGCAGAAGAAGAAAAAAAAAGAATGAGGAGGAATAAGAAGAGGAGGAGGAAGGAAAGAAGAACAGAAACACAAAATCTTACTGTGTCATTACATGACCTATGATTAATCTCTTCCATCTTATTTACATTTTGGATAAATAGGTGACTCTATTTTCTCAAAGTAAAAAGGAAGATATATTTACTTACTTGCCAATTATCTTATTGAAGTGTTAAAGTTTTATTTTTCTCTGGATTATTTTAAGATGTACTTACTATTAATTCATTTTATTGAAAGTTGACATGGTAAACTATATTTCCAGGACTATAGAAGATTCAAAGATGATAAAATATGTATGGCCTTTTCTTCACAGGCTTTAAAATCTAATGACAATTTCATAAGCAACCATAAATTTGAACATTTTTGATATCTGTAACAATATAGTACTTTATGTAAATGGTTATAGCAAAAATAATGCCATAGTTCTATGAGGAAAGAAATTTTAAAATTCCTGATTCTTCTCCTTTAGAAATATGTACATATTTATCTATCTATGCATAGATACTATTTCTTGAAATATAGTTAAATCTATTATACTTCCATCATATTAGGCTATATATGCATGCTTCTATATATATATTAATATATATGTTAACATACAGAATAAAAATAAATATATATGTTCTACTAGCAAATAATGTATTTGCTCTATTATTTAATATAAATAGGTACATTGATATATATTATACACACATATATTAATATACATTGTATACAAATATGAATATATACATTATAAACAAATGTATATATCTATATATACATTACATACAATGTATATACATACATATATACAAATGTGTATATAAATATATACATTATATACAGATATATACATTAATATACATTATATACAAATACATACATTATAAATGAATGTATACATATATACATTCTACTGGCAAATATTACATTCTGTCCATTCATAATGCCACCCATTACTTCACTCAAGCATCCTAGATTATTGTATAATTGGACTTTATGCCAATAGTCATTCCTAATCTCTCCATGATACGAAGTTCAACATCTGCTTTTTTAGGTTCCAAATGATAGGACCTTTAACTACATTTCTAGCCTCATTTTATCTTCCTTTGTATTTTTAGTACATAATGTTATACATAGCAGTGTTCATTAAATGAAATAATTCATAACAAATGAAATGATAAATCTTTTTCATGCATATGTATGGTTTTCAAGCAATAATAGTGAATAATTTGTTTTTCTCTTGCTCCTGAATTATAAAAATTATGGTAGAAATGAACTAGCATTTTAAATACTTTTTTTATATCACAAAAATGACTGAATTCTTATTAAATTATGTGATTTTTAAACTCACAATAATCTTGGAAATTAGACACAGCAAGAGTTAGTATTCTGACTTATAAAGGGGAAATTTTGTCTAAGATAGATAAAGGGGTTTGTGCAGGATTTCTCCCCTAGCAAATGATGAACTAGCACTGGAATTTAGGATTCCTGACCATCTGTGCTTTGTCTTTTTCCATTAGAGCTAGGATGAACATATGCCCCATTTTTTCCAGAAAATTTCACTTAATACATAGCATCTTGAATTGATAATTAATTGTGCCCTATTTCACTCTCCTGTCCTGGTTTAAACAATAAATTATAGGGCAACCATAACTATAGCTCACAGTAAGAAATAAGAGAAAAATAGAAGTAGGCTATACCCAGGATAAGTAATTTTGATATCAAGGTTGATCAGATCATATTAACTTGTTACCATCAAAATATGTCATTTTAATGATTCACAAGTTGGAAAACTTACCTTGTGAATATTGATCACTACTGTGATATAGATTCTTATTATTTTATCTTATTTGAAAACTACTAAATTGTCTATGAATGTTTCTGAGTGTTGTCTACACAAATTTAAGACACTACACTATGTGAAAATGAACCCATGGTAGTTCCAAACTACTCAGGTTTGACATGCCAGCCATCACATGAGATGAGAACAGAGAGTAACTTGCTTGATGGAAACTGAGTCAGATTGGGTGCTTAATCAGCCACTGATTAATCAGAATGCAGGTCTGACTAGGAGAACCACAAATCAAAATGGGCATTAGGCTGTGTTCCCTATTAAATTAATAACTGACTATAAAGCCAAGTAACATTTCAAATTTCATTTGATTCCATAGATTTAAAATTGGTGGTATGACAACTGAACGTATTTTAAAACATGCCTTTTTTTTGAAGGCAATGTATTTCTCTGCAGAAATAAACTCTTGACATTAATGATATTGACTCTTTCATCCAGTTTCAAAACTCTATTTTGTCAAGAAAGTTATAATTATTGATACTACTTGACAGCAAAGAGCAGACTGCTTTAAATGCTCATCAACGTCTTTTCAAAATAGATCATTATTCTTCTAATTTATTTCCAAATAAGAAAAGAGCTGACAGAGGTTGAGATTTGTTCAAATATTTCAATCCTAGAGTATGTATATATAATACATATGCGAGATGTGATGGGGTGTGTATGTGTGTGTGCATTTATGTGTGTGAATGGCACATAATCTTTCCAAATTACCTGGAGAAAATTGTATCTGACAATCCTATTATAGAATGCAAAAGACAGGAATGAAAAATCTATGGTCATACCTATTCACAAAATTGTTTAAGTCTAGTTTAAACAACATACTAACATCACTATTATTTCTATATAATCCCAATAACTATTTGGGCTTAAAATTTATACAATTCTATTTAGATAAATTCATAGTATGCTAGAAATGAAGATATTTCAAGGAGAATATAAGAACGGCAAGGTCTTTGTAGCATCACTGCATGTGACTGGACTAAAAATCCACCGTGAGCTTGCTGAGTAAATTGTTTCAGATTTGATCCCTTCAAGTGTTATTGAAGATTCTCCCACATATAATACCTTAATGTTACTCAATTCATTGTTCTAAGGTTGTTCTAAAATTGTTCTAAATTTCTGGCTATGCCGAAGTTCATTTCTAAAATAAAAGGTAATGCAGGCAGTTAACATTTTGATAAATACTACTTCATACTTTTGATCTCATTTCCTGTTTTTTATTACATTAGATTTTCTATCAAAAGAGGCCATTATAGTTTAGGGATAAATGCTTGACAACAGAGTGTGTATGTCAGGATATTTCAAACGGTGAAGAAATAATGTTTTTAACTACTTTAATTATGCTTCTTTCTTTCCTATTGGATTTGATAATCATGGCCAAATTATTCATTAATTACTTTTACAGATAACCAAAAAAATGCCAAAAAGTGCTGTTTCTACTAAAATCTCTTAGCAGGAGGATCTTCATGTTTGGATTGTGCACAAAGGTATTTTCATTTGTTCAGAGCACTTAAACAAAATGGACAAAATGTGTATTTTTTAGAAAATTACCCATATATGACAGAGCATCACCAGTGACAAACACGTTATTGCTGAAGAGTAGACGTATTTTGCATCTGCTTATGTCTTAATCTGATGTACTTTATTCAAGAAGCAGGAAGTGAGGGACAGAGTCCTGTAGTTGGCCTTAAAATCCTGCCCCACAGGTCTGTGCCCCTTACACTTACTCACCAAGGCTTGGCCGTGGGTTTGTTATATTGAATCACTACTTAGAAACTTAGTTTCCTCCACCATTGGCCAATTTTCATGAATGTTGTCAATGATAGAATTTCTCGATTTTTCAGATATCTCAAATGGCTTTAAGCCCTGGATGTAACTCAATTAAAAATATTACTTTCAGTTATGTTGTTATCTGTTCACATTTGAGCTGCTGATAACATCTGTTATTTGAGTTGTTAAAAAATAATTATTTGTTGATACTCTTTTCCATGCTATTTTACAGAAACGTGTAACTTGTTAAAAGTGTTAGTTCTATCTTTTTTCTCTGTAAAAAGTAGAATTCTAAGAAAAAAATTACAATAACCAACTAAGGTAAAGAATAATTAAGTTTGCTTTTGTTTCTTTTATTTATAGGTATAGTGAGTTGGATTAATCTCACTCCTAAGTTGCACTATTATTAGTCTATGCAAGGTCTTTCTTTTTTATTTGAAAAATAGTTTTAAAAATTTTAATTATTACCTTCTCAGCCCCATTGAGACCCATGCCCCCACTATCTTTACGTAATGAACCACTCTAACGTACATTAGTGTATGTCCTTTATCATGGTTATATCCTCAAAGAATATATGCTGGTACTTTTAATATGCATCTTTGGTATTTTTAAATTTTAAATGTATATATTTGTTTTAGTTTTCACTCAATGTGATTATTAATTGTTAATTGTTTCTAATCCACAAGTTTTATACAGTACCTGCTCATCACATAGTATTTATTTCCTAGTGATGGAAACTTCATTGACTTCAACTTCCTGCTGTCAGAAACTATCCTTTAATAAGAGTCACCACACAGTGTTAATTCATTCCTAATCAATTTGTGGTGCCAGTTAATGTGTCAAAGTATCTGTCTGTCTATATTTGTCTATTATCTATCATCTATATATCATCTACATTGATCTGTTTTCCAAAGTCTTAATTACATTCTATTGATTTTTTTTCTATTTAGCTCCACTTATTTTTACTAAAAATTTTAGTAGGATATTTAATATTGACTAATTCCTCTTTTTTCTTCTTTTTCAAAATTTGCTCTTCTATGGAAGTTTATTATGATATGTAAACTTTGGAATACATTTGCCAAGTAACTAAAAAAATCTGCTTTATTTTTAGCTTTCAGATTTATTGAGATAAAGTTGACATACAATAAACTTCACAAGTTTAAAATGTAAATTTGAAATTTTTAACATACGTATACATCAGCGAGAAAATACCACAGTGAAGATAGTGAGCATATCTATCCACTCCCAAAAGCTTCCTTGTATCCCTTGGTAATATGGACCACACACCTTTTCTCAATACTGCTCCTAATCATAGGCAACTACTGATCTGCTTTTTGTCAGTACAGATTAGTTTGCATTTTCTAAAATTTTATATAAATCAAATTGTATAGTGAGCCACAATTTAAAACTTATGAATTGTTAGTTTCTGAAATTTTCCATTTAGTATTTGTGGACCACAGTTGACTGCAGGTAACCATGTAACAGCAGATAAAGGAACATTACTGTGTGTACTCAATTTGTGCTCCTTTTTGTCTTTCTTTTTTCATTTTGCTTAAATATTTTAGATTTATCTATGCTACTTTATCTTAGTCTATGACTTGTCTTTTGATCCTCTTAAAAGTGGCTCTGGAATAGCGGAATCACTCAAGTTTAATGAAACCTGATTTATGTAGGGTTTTTTTGCTGTTTCGGATTGTGTTTTTGTTGTCTTATTTAGGAAATATTTGCCATATTCAAACCCACAACAATTTCCTGCTATATTTTCTTCTAGAAGTTTTATAGGGTTAGGCTTAAAAATGGTTCTAAGATTCATTTTGAGTTAATTTTTTGTACACGATAAAGGTATAGATGAAAGTTTTTGCTTAATTTTCCTTAATGTATAATGTTACATGACAGTATTTATTTTGAAAAGATTATCCTTTCTTCACTGAATTTCCTTTGCATTTAGTTTAAATCACTTGAGCGTATATGTGTGAGTTTTTCTTTTTTCTTTTCTTTTTTTTTTTTTTTTTTTGAGTTGGAGTCTCGTTCTGTCTCCTAGGCTGGAGTGCAGTGGCATGATCTTGGCTCACTGCAACCTCCGCCTCCTTGGTTGAAGCGATTCTCCTGCCTCAGCTTCCCAAGTAGTTGGGATTACAGGCGTGTGCCACCACACCTGGCTAACTTTGGTGTTTTTAGTAGAGACTAGGTTTCACCATGTTTGCCAGGCTGGTCTCAAACTCCTGACCTCAGGTGATCCGCCTGCCTCAGCCTCCCAAAGTGGGGTTTTTCTTTAATCTGCTGCATTTTTCTATAACAATACTACACTGTCTTGTTGACTGTAGGTTTGTAATAATTATTGAAGTCAGGTAGTATATATCCTTCAACTTTTTTTCTTTTTCAAAACTGTTTTCACTATTCTAGATATTTTGCATTTCTATGTAAACTTTAGAGTCAGCAAGCCAAATTCTATAAAAATACTTGCTGAAAATTTCATTGGAATGTCATTGAATTTATAGATCATTTGGGGAATAATTGACATCTTAAAAATTGATAATTTTACTATATAAACAGACTGTATTTCATCATTAATGTTTAATTTCTCTTAGTAATACTTTTTTAGTTTTCAGTTTCCAGATCTTACACAAATTTTCCAGCTATCCTCAAGTATTTCATAATTTTGATGCTATTGTAAATGGTATTTTCAAAAACTTCACTTTTGTAGAAACACAATTGATTGTTAATAGTGATCTTGTATCCTGAGACATGTGTTAAGCTCTCTTATTAGTTCAAGAAGATTTTTCTTTTTTTTGTAGAGTAATATGTTGTCTATGGAAAAAAAAGGTTTTCCTCTTCCCCACCAATCCAAATGACTATATAAGTTTTTTGTGCCTTACTGTATTGACTGGAAACTTGACTAGGAATAGTAAGAAAAGATGTATTTTCCTTTTTTCCTATCAAAGGGGAAAACATTCATTTTTACATAATTAAGTATATTAGCTTCAGGTTGTTATAGGTAACTTATATCGGGTTGGGGAATTTTCCTTTCTTCTTTACTGAAATATTCTTTTTTAGTGTTTTAAAATCAGGAACAATAGCTCGATTTATCTTATACTTTTTAGAAATCTATTGGGATGATCATTTGTGTATATGATGAATGATATTCTTTTTTATTCTAATGTTAAAGCAACCTTGTATTCCTGAGATAAACTCAAATTGGTCTTTTTTTTGTATAGTGTTGAATCTACTTGTTAACATTTTCTGAAAACCTTTTACATCTATGTTCATGAGGGATATTGGTCTAAAGTTTGCTTCTGTTGTTTGCTAGTTCTGTTTTCGGTTATGTTTGTTTTATATCATGTTAAGAATATTCTATCCTCAATTTTCTGGAATAGTTTATTTAAATTTTTTTTAATGTTTGGTAGAATTTATTATGATACTGTGATATCACCTGGGCATAGAGTTTTCTTTGTTGAAGGCTTTTTTTTTTTTTTTTTGATACGGAGGGTACACATGCAGGTCTGTTACATGGAAATATTGCTTGAAGCTGAAGTTTAGGGTAATGGTCCTATCACCTGGGTAGTGAGCATAGTACCCAACTACCTGTTGGTACTATGCCTCCTCCCTACCTCACCCCTCTGGTAGTCCACAGTGCCTATTGTTCCCATATTTACATCCAGGGGTGCTCAATGGTTAGTTTTCACTTAGAAGTAAGAACATGAGGTATTTGGTTTTCTGTTTTTAATGACAAGTTCTGTTTTTCATAACTACAGGATTACTTAGGTTATCCATATTATTTTTAGTGAGCTTTGGTAATTTGTGTCTTTCAAAGTATTTGTCCATTTATCTATGCTGTTGAACTTATTGGTTTAATGTTTTTTACAATGTTGCCTTATTAGTATTTTTAAAAATATATCTGTAAAATCTACAATGGTGTCACTTCTCGCATTCCTGCTACTGGTAATTTGTGTTTCTCTCTTTTGTTTCTGATCAATCTAGTTTAAGCCTGATAAATTTTACTGACATTTTGAAAGAGTCAGATTTAGATTTTCATTGATTTTCTCTATATGTCTGTTTTCTAGTTAATCATTTTCCACTATAATCTATATTATGTCCTTTCTCTGCTTACTGTTGGTTTCATTTGTTTTTCTTTTTCTAATTCTTTTTTTTCTGATATCCTGACATTCTTTACCTCATATTATTTCCACTTCCAATAAAATATATAATTGAGCTGAATTTTGAAAAAATATAGATACTTCAGGATACTTCTAAATAGTGAGTGAGTGAAAGTCATTATTTGCCATAACATAACATAACATTCAATTAGTTAATCAAAAACCCAAATGCCCGCTAGGTGCCCAACACTGTTCCAGGCATTCTTCTTCTTTATTTTTTTTTTTTTTTCATTTTACTTTAAGTTCCGGGATACATGTGCAGAACGTGCATGTTTGTTACACAGGTATACATGTGCCATGGTGGTTTGCTGAACCTATCAACCTGTCATCTAGGTTTTAAGCACCACATGCATTAGGTATTTGTCCCAATGCTCTCCCTCTCCTTGTTCCCCACCCCCCGACAGGCCCCAGTATGTGATGTTCCCCTCCCTGTGTATATGTGTTCTCATTGCTCAACTCCCGCTTATGAATGAGAACATGCGGTGTTTGGTTTTCTGTTCCTCTCTTAGTTTGCTGAGAATGAAGGTTTCCAGCTTCATCCATGTCCCTGCAAAGGACATGAACTCATTCTTTTTTATGACTACATAGTATTCCATGGTTTATATGTGCCACATTTTCTTTATCCAGTCTATCATTGATGGGCATTTGGGTTGGTTCCAAGTCTTTGCCATTGAATACTTAAGTGGAAGTTGAAGTACTGGATTTGAATCTTTTCTTATCTTTTCCAGTCTGGTCGTGTAGTGCTACTGCTTCACATAGTGTTACTACTGTACCTAAAACTGATATATTTTATATATTTTATTTTCATTTTCATTCAGATCAGAATGCTTTTAAATTTCTCTTTTGATTTTTTCCTTCACTTGTTATATGAAATTGTGCTATTTTCTAAGTAATCAATGATTTTCTAGCTATCTTTCTGTTAATTTGATTGCTAATTTAATTTTATCAGAAATTAATTTCAAAGTTTTTCGACTCTTTACTTACAAGGCTTAATAGTTTTAATATATTTTATTAAAATGCATATAAGTTTGTTGAGAGTGGATACCTAAAAAAAAGTGAACTTATCTTGGAATGCTATTAATGTCTATCTCCTTCAGGTTTTGTCTAAGCCATTTAAAAGTTTTAAAGCTTTCTTCTTTATTCCTAGATATTTGATAATTTATATTATTATTTATATGATACTAGCCCTATTGATATTTGATTATTACTATTTAGGGGAATTATTTTGATTTTATTGGTCTACCTTCTATCACAATGAGCTTGATTTTTTAAGCTAAATGCCTGGATTATGTGTGTGTGTATGTATGTGTGTGTATATATGTGTGTGTGTGTGTATATATATACATACTATATATATTATATATGTATGTAGTATATGTGCATGTATATATTATGTATATATTTATGTTATATATATGTATATATGTATATTATACATATTAGCATATACATACACAGTATATACACATATATGTATATATAATTATATACACATATGTGTGTATGTATGGATATATGTTTTTAGCTATTTTTATTGCATTTTAATTCTATTTAATGAGTCACTGAGAACATATTATCTGCTCTTGAGTGTTGCAATTTATTAATGCTTTCATTGTATTCTTTACAAGGTCTATTTTTGTTAAGTTTACTTATGCTATAAAATTATTTTTGGTTATTTTGGGTAATGTACATTAACATATTGAATACAATAATCAAATATTTGTACACTTCTTTATTGATTCCTTCATAATTATTCAGTCACTGAAAGAACAATGATAAAAAAAACTCTCATTACAATCCCACCTATTATCACAGATGTATTCATTTTTACCTATAATTTCATCAGTTGTTATTTATAAATATATAAAAAGGCTACATTTTTAGATATATATATAGATTTATACTTGTTATATTCTATTCATCTATGTTTAAATATTGCATGGAATTTGACTTTATCCTTTATGATTTGTATACTTAAGTTCTATTTTTAATTATACAGTGGCTTGAATAGGATTCTTTGATTTTAATTGTCTTATTTAAATTGCAATGCTTTTATTTTTAAACTTTCTTTGTTCTTCTGATTGTATCTCTTATAGATTTCAGAAACCTAGAATATTTTTTCTTATCCAATCTGAAGTTAGTGCCTTGATATAAGTTTAACTTAGTTGTATTAGCTTTAATGACATTTGTGTTATGATTTACTACAGCTTTTCCATTTTATATTCATTTGTTTATCACAATTCCATTTATCCTATGTTTATTCATATATATGTATATTTATATATGGGATAAATGGAATTGCACACATATACATATATGTGTGAATAAACATGGGACAAATGGAATGCGAGTGCATATATACACGCACTCATGCTTATGTTTCTATTTTGCTATTTACTTCCTGGAATCATCTTGGAATCCTCTGGCTCACTGATATCACAACACCCAAAACACATATCATATTGATATTATATAAATTTCTTGATTGTAATAAACATACTACAATCATTTTAAAACTTTGTTTCTTATTTATGTTGATGGCATTAATCTTTAACAAATAATTTAGTGATTATTGTTATTCATATCCCAAATATATGACATATTGAAATTATTTTTTCTTTCTATAGTATATTGTTTATTAACAAAAGCTGTCCTTGCATGACAAAGGCTGTTTTATTTTGTCATTGCATATATCTGCCAGTTTGCTGGAAAAAATTAGACTACAATATTTTCTGTCAACTATTCAACAATATTATTCCTTTGACTTCTCACATCTAGAGTTGCTGTTGTGAAAACCAATAAGTATCTAATAATTGTTCCTTTTAATTGATATAATTTCCTTTTTAAGAGAATTCAGAACTTTCTGTATAGTGTAACTAGAAGTTAATTTTAAAAATTCTATAGTGCTTAGCAGTCTGAAAACTTTATAAATCTGATTTATAATATAATCATATTGACTAGGTATTAAAGTTTTATTTTTGTTAACTATATTTTCTTTTTTCTCTCTTATTAATTCCATCTATGTTTCTGTAGATTTGTATTCATGTAAGCTTTCTTTAATTTTAAGTGCACATTTATTTCTTTCATTATTTCAACTACCATATTTTATCATCTAGTATCACCAATGTATTTTATATTTGCATTTATATTTGTTCATACTCCGTTTTTGAGTTTTATTTATTTGATTATATTTGTATGCTTATTTTATATTACATTCATATTTTTCATTAATTCTAATTTGCTACTCTTGTTCAGTATGCTGTCCTTTATAGTTCTTTATGTCCCTTATATATCCATTTTTTTTCCTGTAAGTTCATTTTTTTTTTTTTTTTGGAACCATTATCTACCTCAGATCATAATAACAAACTGAGGGGAGGGAGAAAAAGACTAGTTTCTGGTTTATACCTTATAAAGCTTTTAGGATGTTAGAGAGTGAGGTAGGGGATGCCTCAAAGTACAAATCTACTGCTTTTATGATCTGGTCTCATTTGTCCACACACCTCCTTATATTAAAATATAACATGTCCTTTTGAAAATGTTTCTATACCTCCACTTAAGGCCTGCTTAATTCTAAGATTTATGTTTCAAAGTTAAAATTACTAAATCCATACAATGACCATATGATCACAGAGGGTCAGAAGCAATTCAATTCTTGGGAGTGAAAGCATCATATATACCTGTTGCTCATCCTTCATTCCGTCTGCCCTCTAGTGCAACATTGTTTTTGTTCTCACTTCTCGATACAAAGATCAGCTAATGTTATTTCAGCTCCTTAGAATCAGAGTATAATGTGCCTACTATGAAGGAGAGAAATGTATTTATATAGAATAGCTTTTCACATTATATTGTTATAGTTAAACTGCCCCCCCACCACCTTTCTCCAGTGCATTTTTTTTTTCTTTCTTTCTTTCTTTTGTCCACAGCAGGATCTATTCCTTTTGCATTTCCAGGAAATTATTAAGATTTTAATATTAATTTCTGGCATAAAAATATTTTTTAATTTGTGTAGGTGGCAGGAGAACAGTAGCCTATATTTATTAATACTCTTGTCAAGAAATAGCAGCTTCTCATGTACTTCTTTTTACATATTTTGTTACTCCTGAATTTTTAATCTTTTGGTTTATGTTTGTACTGACTAGAATAGAAGGATAATATTTCATATGTGCAGTATATATATTATGTATATTTATATAAGTATATATACACAATTCCCTCTAAGATATGTACATATATATGTGTATAGACATAATACACACATACAATCATATAATCTTATAAATATTCACAATATGAGACTCTGTGAAAGAAGTTCTTTAAAATGCTGATCTTCAAATAAAAGATTAATATATAATCTATAAGTTGTGATCTTTATTTTGGCTATATATTTGGGACTTCTTATTTATAAATTAGCATAATTTTATTGATATTATACAATTTAAGTGAGTAAATGCCAGAGTCCAATCATTGAGCTCGGGATCTATGCCTAAGTGTGATTCTTGGCCAAGAAGAACAATTGATGGTTGACTCAGTCTTATGCATAACCCTGAGGGAATAAATCTCTTTATTGGCCTTCCTATATAAATCTTTCCATTTATATAACCTTTCCATAAAAATAAGCTTTATCTTTGGTATATTAAACACTTATCTTGTTCATTAATTTTTTCATTGAATCATTGTTTGGAATGCTTAAAGCATAACATTTAGTCCAGTAAATTTGCTTTTACGCCAAACCTCAAACGTAATCAGTGAAAATATATTTTATTTCTTATCCAAGTGTATTATATTACTTTGGTATGGCTACTATAACAGAATATTATAGATTGGGTAACTGAAACAATAGATATTAAGTTTCTGTCAGTTTTGGAGGCTGGAAGTTCAAGATCAAGGTGCTGACAGGGTTGGATTCTTCTAAAGCCTCTCTCTTTGGCCACCTTCTCTGTGGATGCATGTGGTCTCTCTTCTGCATGCACACGTGTCCCTAGTGTCTCATGTGTGTCCTGATTTCCTCTTATAAAGATTCAAGCTTAGTTAGATTAAGGTGCACTGCGATGGCCTTATTTTAACTTAATTACCTGTTTAAAGGCATCTATCTCCAAATACAAGCACATTCTCAGGTATTGAGGGTTAGGACGTCAACAAATGAATTTGAGGGGGATACAATTTAGCCCATAGCACCAAGAATTCTGCTCAGTAAATATTTTTCATAACATTAGTGCAGAAAAAAATATAACATTGTGTAATAAAAAATAAATACTTTCAAAAATTATTTAATTCTGTAGAATAGAATCCCAGAGCAATTCAATGAAAATGAAGGAGGCTATCTTTTATTTCTTGGTACAATAGTTAGGAAATGTTAGTAGAAAGGGTATTTGATTTGAGAAAAGATGATAAACCTTTTATATATATATATATATATATATTTTTTTTTTTTTTGAGACATACAGTGGAGTACAGTGGTGTGATGATAGCTCATTGCAGCCTGGATCTCCCAGGCATAAGCAATTCTGTCATCTCAACCTCTTGAGTAGCTGGACTACAGGCATACACCTCCACTCCTGGCTAATTTTTGTATTTTTTATAGAGACAGGGTTTCGCCATGTTGCCCAAGCTGGTTCCAAACAACTGGGCTCAAGTGATTCTCCTGCCTTGGCCTCCCAAAGTGCTGAGATTATAGGTGTGAGTCATTGCGCCTGGTCCAGCATACTGTCATACTGAGATAATGATCCTTATTAAGCCCCTTGACCCCTACAAGCCCTGTCATTTTTTTTCATGGCATGTTTATGGAATAATGTTTTGGGAGATCAAATGAATTATATATTTGCAAGTTCTAATATAATAAAATCGCAAATAATCATATCTTATTGTTTGATATTACTATCATAATTATCATCATGTTCGTGTAACATACATTTGACAAAAAATAAATGCATATTTTCTGGGTAATTTTAAATGGAAATAATTAATATTAATTTTGTTGAAGAACTTTATGAGACCCTTTTCAGTAATTTAGAAATACTCCTAATTCTGTGAAAATTAATGTATATTTTTAAGAACCTATTATGTATAAAAAGCTAGATTGGGTGTTGTGCATGATACAATTGTAAACAAAACGTATTCCAGTTTTTAAGACAATTGTTTCCAGTAACAGTAATATACCAAATTGAATATGGATGGTTCCTTAAAGATAACTCTACATGAAGTGTGGTTGTAGCCCATGAGAGTTTGTAGAAAGTCATGATTGTAACTGTTTTGTGCAGAGTGAGAAGATAAGAAAATACATTTTGAGAAGGTAATTGAAAAGGAGAGAAATGGGAGGAAATGAGACCTATGTAAGAAAATTCATAGTGTGAGTTTGAGTGAGAAGTAATTAGGTCCTGAAATAAAGTAAAATTTGAAAACTGGATAAAGGAAAGATAAATGACATAAATATTTAAATGCAGGGTTTGCAAGCTGTTAGAATATTCTTTTCCTGCCACCTTCACTTTGTGACAGTACTCATTCTACCTTGCATCATCAGCAATAATAGTTGTATTCTTCTTTTGATCCTGTATTTATGGAGGTGGCAATACTACATTTTGTTTTCCTCCCACCAAATAGCATGAGAACAATTACATAAACCATTTGTATTAAGCTTGAAGAATTGAATTGCATTGAAACAATGCAATTGTTGAAACAGATGGAATCAAAAATTTTCATATTAGATGATAGTGGTGGAGGAAAGTAAAAAAGGGTAATGCCATTTATATAAATACAAATTGCAAAAAAGAAAGTTTTCTTAGGAAAGAGGTTTAATTCACTCTGGGCTGGGTCTAGTTTAAGAGGCTGGGATTAAGTAGATGGCAATGTTAAATAAATTATTGGACATTTTATTGTCCCTTAGGGGAATACCTCTATCCTTCCTAAATGTAGGAAAAAATCTCCCTACATTTGAAGTATAAGTAAGGGAAAGGGGTTCCATTAACACATTATTATTCTAGTTTTTAAACTGATGGTCTTACCAAGGTGAAGTTGATAAGAAAAGGCAATGGTAGAATATTAAGAAAATCAAAAGTTAGAAGGCAGGGAAAAGGAAAAACAACAACAACAACAACAAAATTTTAAAGTAGATTAGAAAGGTGGAACCAGAAAAGTAAAGTGTTTTATGCCAAGGAGATGGGCAGATGTCATGAAGTCTAGCTAAAGAATGTGAGGAAACCATTGGTCTGTGACTTTAAAGCTTCAGTGTACAAATAGAAAGGAACAACTTGAAAGGTCAAGATAGAAAAAGACAAGAAAGAGAAAGCATGCTTTTTAGAAAGAGGACTTGGAAGACACAAAACAGCACATGACCAGGCAACAGAACAGAGAGGGTAAAAACAGAATGGAGTAGTTTTGAGAATTTACAAGATAGGCATAAGCTGTTTGATGGAACCAATTTTAATGGCTTCAGCAAAGTTGAAAGCAATGTCGCCTGATGACAGAGAACTAGTAACAAAGTATTTCAATGATAAAGAAAAGTAAAAAATATTTTATATGGACACACCAAGAGGTAAGCACAAATTACAATTAACAAAGAAGACTCGTGTGACCCATCATTAATAATAAACTCTGGGAATTTAAAGAATTGAATTCTAGAAGGAATTTTGCCTCTAAAACATGAGATGCTAACACTAAGTGAACAATTTAAGGCTTCACTTTTGTCTTTTCCAACTGTAAAATATTTTCTAACAGTATTTATCTGATCGAAATAATTTTATGATTCCTAATGAATCCATAGCAAACTCCTAGTGAATCATAGTGACTCTCACTGAAAGTGAGTGCTTCAGGACTTTGAAAAATAATAGTTACTATACAGCCATTTATAACCAGAACCATGCTATTATAATATAAATCTCAAGGAAAAAACTTCAAAATGTTGTGTTATACATATTTTGTAAATAAATAATATGTAATATACATGTATACACACATGTCCATAGTTAAATTATGTTTAAAGAACAAACTTTTTAGTGTCGTTAAGTAACAGAAGAACAGATTTAGATCAAATTACTTAAAATTAACATCAAAAAGTATTATTGGTATAAGTTAATTGAAATAAATTTGTACAACCAGTTATTTTGAGAATGTATATCTAAGTATTTATTAGATTGTTTTTTATTATGGTTACTAGATGGTTTATGTAGATATGTACTTTATGTTTTCTGAACACATAAATTGAAAAATAATTGTCAGGTACAACTAATGAATCCTTTTGATTTTGCATTTTGTGGTTCTGTATCACAGACTTACTTTTGTTTGCTCCATTTTGAATGGTGCCTTACTTTATTATTATTACAATGATTATTTCTTGTTGGGCTTTTATATAAATTTCAAGTTTATTCAGTTTCTACTTCTAGTTGTTTAAATTTAAGAGATTATTTGCATTTCCTGAAACTATAGCTCTTTAATTCTGTAACATTACTTGTCCTGGATTATTAAAATGCAGGTTCATATGACTTCCGTTAAGGTTCTTCATGCATCTCCACTTCTCTCTCTGTGAAATACCTTCAACAGAAACTGTTAAAAAGGAAGAACTTCTCTTTCCCCAAGTGGCTGCAGTAAAGGGAAGTAATAGACTGACAAGGCTTTTAGATGTAAGAAAATGTCTTCTGGATTAATTACTCCCTAAAACTTTATATACAAAAAGTCTTTGATACTCTAAGTTTCCTTATCAAACTAATGAGTTTACTCTTGCCTATACCTGTTTCCCCATCCTTGATTTTACTTTTCCAAACTCTTACGGTGTAAACTGCCTAATTTTGCTATGTATGAGATACATGGACACACTCAACAACTATACTATATTAGGTAGAAAATCATATTATTGTGTGTGAGATGCATGGTAAATTGAGTGTATGCAGTCTTCTGGGAAAAACCATTAATAAGTATTACCTTGTTAAAAGATTTTAGAAACCATGAAATACAAAAGCAGGGCATGTGAATGTATTTATGCTTTTAATGCTTGAGTGCAATATGTAACTACAGCTTTATGAAAACTTAAGCAACATGTATATATATACATATATAAATAATAAACTTTATTTTAGAGCATTTTAAAGTTCACAGCAATATTGAACAGAAAGTAGAGAAAGTTACAGTATACTCACCAGTCAACACACATGCGCAATCTCTCCCACTATCAATATGCTGCACCAGAATGGTTATATTTGTTACTATTGATGGACTTAACACTGGCACATGATTATCACCCAATGTCCATAGTTTATATTGTTTCACTCTTGATATTGTATTTTTTGGGTTTTGAAAAATGTCTAATGATATTTATCTACCATTATAGTGTAATGCAAAATAATTTCACTGCCCTAATCCTGTGTTCTCCCTATTCATCCCGCCCTCCTTTCCTCCTCCTCCTCCTCCCCCCACTTCTTCTTTTTCTTTTTTCTTTTCTTTTGAGACAGAGTCTCACTCTGTCGCCCAGGCTGAAGTGCAATGGTGCAATCTAGGCTCACTGCAACCTCCGCCTCCTGAATTCAAGCGATTCTTCTGCCTCAGCCTCCCCAGTAGCTGGGACTACAGTCATGTGCCACCATGCCCAGCTAATTTTTTTGTATTTTTTAGTAGAGGCTGGGTTTCACCATGTTAGCCAGGATGGTCCCGATCTCCTGACCTCATGATTCTCCCCTCTGCCTCCCCAAGTGCTGGGATTACAGGCGTGAGACACTGCACCGGGCCCCCTCCCTTCTTCTTAACCCATAACAATCACTTTTTTTTTTTTAATGACTCCATAGTTTTGCCTTTTCCAGAATATCATACAGTTAGAATTATACAGTAAGTAGTCTTTCAAGACTGGCTTCTTGCACTGAGTAATATTAATTTTATTTTCTTTCATGTGTTTTCTTTCTTGGGTAGAGAGTTCATTTCTTTTTAATAAATAGTACTTATTCCATTGAGTTGGTGTACCTCAGTTTATTTATCCACCCATCTCATGAAAAACATCTTGGTGGCTTTTAAATCTTGGCAATTATGAATAAAGCTGCTGTAAACATTCATGAATAGGATTTTGAGTGAACCTAAGTTTTCAACTCGTTAGGGTGAATATCAAGAAACATGATTGCTGGATTATATGAGAAGAGTAAGTTTGATTTTATAAGAAACTGTCAAGCTGCCTGCTAAAGTGTCTTCTAAAATGGCACCATTTTGCATTCCCACTAGCAATGAGTGAGAGTTCTTGTTGTTCCAGATTCTTACTAATGTTAGATGTTGTCAGTGTTCTGGATGTTAGCCATTTTAATAGGTATGTGGTGGAATCTTAATGTTGTTTTAGTGTGCAATTCCTTAATGATATATGATGCTAAAAAATTTTCATAAGCTTACTTTCTATCCATAGCTCTTCCTTGGTAAGGTGTCTGTTTTGATCTCTCCATTTTTAAAATGCGTTGTTCATAAATTTTAAGAGTTCTCTGAATATTTTGGTTAATAGTTCTTTATTGGAAGGTTTTTTGCAAATATTTTTTTCCCAGTCTGTCATGTCTTCTCATTCTCTTGACATTGTCTTTTGCAGAGCAAGGTTTTAAATTTTAACGAAGTCCAGCCTATGAGTTATTTCTTTTTTTTTTCTTTCTTTTCCTTTTTTTTTTTTTTTTTTTTTTTTGAGGCAGAGTCTCACTCTGTCACCCAGGTTGGAGTGCAGTGGCGCGATCTCGGCTCACTGTATGCTCCGCCTCCTGGGTTCACGCCATTCTCCTGCCTCAGCCTCTCCGAGTAGCTGGGACTGCAGGCACCTGCCACCACGCCCGGCTAATTTTTTTTGTATTTTTACTAGAGACGGGGTTTCACCATGTTAGCCAGGATGGTCTCAATCTCCTGACCTCGTGATCCACCCGCCTTGGCCTCCCAAAGGGCTGGGATTAACAGGCGTGAGCCACCACGCCAGGCCCAAGTTATTTCTTTTATGGATAATGCTTTTGGTGTTATATCTAAAAAGTCATCCCCATACCCAAAGTTACCTAGATTTTCTCCATTGCTATCTTCTATAATTTGTATAGGTTAGTATTTTATATTTCACTCTATGATCCATTTTGTATTATTTTTTGTGAAACGTGTAAGGTCTGTGTCTAGATTCATTTTTCTTTTTTTAAAGTTTTTCTAGCACTATTTGCTCCTTTGTATTGCCTTTTTTCCTCCGTCAAAGATTAGGTGACTATATTTATGTTGGCATACTTCTGGTCTATTTATTTTGTTCTATTGATCAACTTATCTATTTTTTCACCAATACCACACTATGTTGATCACTGTAACTTTACAGTAAGTGTTGACACTGGGTAGTGTCAGCCCTCTTACTTTGTTCTTCCCTTTTTTTATTTGAATTGAGTATTATGGGCCTTTTGCCTCTCCATATAAACTTTAGGATCAGTTTGCCACAATGCATATAATAATTTGCTAAGATTTTGGTTAGAATTGTGTTGACTTTATAGATAAAGTTGAAAAAAACTGACACCTTCACAATATTGAGTCTTCCTATCCATGAACATGAATGTCTCCCCATTTATTTGATTCTTTTTTTTGAAATCATTCATCAGAGTATTATACTTTTTCTCAAATAGACCTTGTGCATATTTTGTGAGATTTATACCTAAGTATTTCATTTTGGAGGGTCCTAATGCAAATAGTAATGTGTTTGTTTTTAATTTCAAATTACATTTGCTGCTATATAGGAAAGTAACTATCATTTGTATATTAACTTTGAATCCTAAAACCTTGTTCTAATTGTTTATTGGTTCCAAGAGGGGGTTGTAGGTATGTGGCCTTATTTCTGGATTCTCTGTTCTGTTCCATTGGTCTATGTGTCTGTTTGTGTACCAGTACCACCCTGTTTTGGTTACTGTAGCCTTGTAGTATAGTTTGAAGTCAGTAATGTAATACCTCTAGCTTTGCTCTTTTTGCTTAGGAGTGCCTTGACTATTCAAGCTCTTTTTGGTTCCATGTGAATTTTAAATTTTGTTTTTTTCTAGTTCTGTGAAGAATGTTATTAGTAGCTTGATCAGAAGAGCATGAATCTGTAAATTGCTCTGGGCATTATAGCCACTTTAATGATATTGATTTTTCCTATCTATGAGTATAGAATGTTTCTTTATTTGTTTGTGTCATCTTTGATTTCTTTGAGGAGTGTTTTGAAATTCTCACGGTAAAGATCTTTTACCTCCCTGATTTGCTGTATTTCTAAATATTTTATTCCTTTTGTGGCAGTTGTGAATGGGATTGCATTCCTAATCTGGTTCTTACCTTGGCTGTTGCTTGTGTATAGGAATGCTAGTTATTTTCATATGTTGTTTTTGTAACTGAAACCTTGCTGAGGTTGTTTACCAACTTATTGAGCTTTTGGGCTGAGAATGCAGAGCTTTCTAGATATAGAATCATGTCATCTACAAACAGGGATACTTTTAATCCCTCTCTTTCTACTTGGGTGTCGTTTATTTTTTTCTCATGCCACATTGCTCTTGTCACGACTTTCAATACTATTTTGAATAGGAGTGGTGAGAGAGGGCGTCCTTGCCTTGAGCCAGTTTTCAAGGGGAATGCTTCCAGCTTTTTCCTATTTAGTATGATGTTGGCTGTGGGTTTGTTAGATAGCTCTTATTATTTTAAGGTATGTTGCTTCAATATCTAATTTGTTGAGAGTTTTTAACATGAAAAGATGTTGAATATTATTGAAGCCTTTTCTGCATCTATTAAGATAATCATGTGGTTTTGTCTTTAGTTATTTTTATATGATGAATCACATTAGTTGATTTGTGTATGCTGAACCAACCTTGAATCCCAGGGAAAATGCCTACTTGATTGTGGTGGATTTGTTTTTGATGTGCTGCTAGATTCAATTTACTAGTATTTTGTTGAGGATTTTGCATCAGTGTTCATCAAGGATATTGTCCTAAAGTTTTCTTTTTTTTGTTGTACCTCTGCCAGGTTTTGGTATCAGAATGATGTCAGCCTCATAGAATAAGGTAGGGAGGAGCGCTTCCTCCTCAATTTTTTGAAATAGTTTCAGTAGGAATGGCACCAGCTCTTCTTTGTACATCTAGTAGAATTTGGTTATGATTCTCTCTGGTCCTGGGCTTGTTTTTTGGTTGACAGGCTACTTATTACTGATTAAATTTTGGAGTTCATTATTGTTCTTTTCAGGGAATTAATTTATTCCTGGTTTAGTTTTTGGAGGTTGTATGTGTCCAGTAATTTATTCATTAATTTACCAATTTCTTCTAGATTTTCACATGTGTGTGCAAGGAGGTGTTCATAATAGTCTTTGATGGTTATTTGTATTCCTGTGGGGTCAGTGGTAATAATCCCTTCATTATTTCTCATTGTGGCTATTTGGATCATCTCTCCTTCTTCTTTATTAGTCTAGCTAGTGGTCTATGTATTAATTTTTTTTTCAAAAAACCCACTCCTGCCTTCACTGATCTTTTGAATAGGTTTTCATATCTCAGTTTCTTTCAGTGCAGGTCTGATTTCGGTTATTTCTTGTCTTTTCCTAGCTTTTGTGCTTGGTTTGTTCTTGCTTCTCTAGTTCTTTTAATTGTGATGTTAGGTTGTTAAATTGAGTTCTTTCTAACATTTTGATGTGGGCATTTAGTGCTATAAATGTGTCCCAGAAATTCTGTGTCCCAGAAATTCTGGCATGTTATATCTTTGTTCTCATTCATTTCAAAGAACTTCTTGATTTCTGCCTTAGTTTCATTATTTACTGCAAAGTCATTCAGGAGCATGTTGTTTCATTTCCATCTAATTGTATGGTTTTGAGCAATTTTCTTAGTCTTGAATTCTATTTTATTGTGCTGTGGTCCCTGAGAGTGGTTGGTATGACAGGGGGTTCTTTTGCATTTGCTGAGGATTGTTTTATATCTGATTATGTAGTTGATTTTAGAGTATATGACAAGTGTAGAAGAGAAGAATGTATATTCTGTTGTTTTGGGGTGGAGAGTTCTTTAGATGTCTATCAGATCCATTTGGTCAACTGCTGAATATCTTTCAAGTCCTGAATATCTTTGTTAATTTTCTGACTCAATGATCTGTCTAATGCTATCAGTGAGGTGTTGAAGTTTCCCACTATTATTTTGTGGGAATCTAAGTCTCTTTGAATGTCTCCAAAAACTTGATTTAGGAATCTGGGTGCTCCTATGTTGGGTGCATGTATATTTATTATAGTTAGTTCTTCTTGTTTAATTGAACCCTTTACTATTATTTAATGCCCTTCTTTTTTTTTTATCTTTGTTGATTTAACGTCTGTTTTGTTTGAAATTAGAATTATAACCCCTGCATTTTTCTTTGTTTCTCTTGCTTGGTAGATTTTTCTCCATCCCTTTATTTTGAGCCAGTTACTGTGATTGCATGTGAAATGGGTTTCCTGAAGACAGCATACCATTGGATCTTGCTTCTTTACCCACTTGCCACTCTGTGCCTTTTAACTAAAGGCATTTAGCCCATTTACATTCAAGGTTAGTATTGATATGTGTGGACACACACAGTCCTACACCAGAGCCCTGCCCTACTGCTAACACTGCTACGAGTACAGATGTGCAAACAGTTGCTATCAGGTCCTTTGCCCCCCAGATCATACTGCCACTGTTGCTGCGGCCAACACCTGTACAGAGGCCAGCACCCTGGCACCCACTAGCACCCCACAGCAGCTAAATGCATGTACTCCACCGTGCTGCTGCTGCTACTGCTTCTGGCACATGCAAATGAGTATGGATCCCACTGCCACTGCCCTGCAAAGTGCTTTGGCTGGCACCACCCTTCAGAGTGTTGTGACCAGTGGTCCAGGAGCACTTCACCGCCTCCAGCACAGCAGGTCCCTAACCTTGAGGAACCAGAAATCAAAGCTATAACCTAATATCAATGGCTCCCCAATCAGATTTAGAAAATCCAGTCCAGGAGTCCTGATCTGAGCCTTGGCACCCTTAAATCTTCCAGTAATGAAGCCAGTTGACTGAACCCACCTTATATCACAATCAAACCCCCAAGGTCATCAAATAGGATAAAAGAAAAAAAATCCAAAGGGCAGCAACTTTAACTACTGAAGGAACATCAGCCCACAAAGATGAGAAAAAAACAGCACAAGAACTCTGACAACTCAAAAAACTAGAGTGTGTTTCCTCCAAATGACTGCACTAGTTGTCCAACAAGGATTCTTAACTGGGCTGAGATTGCTGAAATGACAGAAATAGAATTCAGAGAGTGAACAGGAATGAAGATCATCAAGGTTCAGGTAAACATTGAAACCGAATATAAAGAAGCAAAGTCAACATTATAGATGCGGACAGATAAAATAGCCAGTATAGAAAAAGAATATAACCAATCTGATAAAGCTGAAAAACACACTATAATAATTTTATATTGCATTTGCAAGTATTAACACCAGAATAGACCATGCTGAGGAAAGAATCTCAGAGCTTGAAGACTGTTTTTCTGAAATAGGAGAGTCAGAAAAGAATTTTAAAAAAAGAATGAACCATGTCACATGTATACATATGTAACTAACCTGCACATTGTGCACATGTACCCTAAAACTTAAAGTATAATAATAATAATACAAAAAAAATAAATAAAAAAATTCAAAAAAAATTTAAAAAAAAATGAAAAGGGCCAAACAAAACCTCCAAAAAATATGGGATTAGATAAGGAGACTGAATCTACAACTCAATGGTGTCCCTCAAAGAGACGGGGAGAATAAAAGCAACTTGGAAAATATATTTCAAGATATGATCCATGAGAACTTCCCTGATCTAGCTCAAGAGGCCAACAATCAAATTCAGGAAATGCAGAGAACTCCCACAAAATATTTCACAAGAAGATTATACTCAAGACACATCATCATCAGATTCTCCAAGGTCAAAATGAAAAAATAAATGTTAAAAGCAGCTATAGAGAAAGGACAGGTAACCTACAAAGGGAAGCCCATTAGATTAGCAGTGGACACCTCAGCAGAAACTCTATGAGCCAGAAGAGATTGGGGCCTCATATTCAACATTCTTAAAGAAAAGAACTCCCAACCAAGAGTTCCATATCCAGCTAATCTAAGCTTCGTAAGCAAAGGAAAAATAAGATCCTTTCCAGACAAGCAAGTTCTGAGGGAATTCATTACCTCTAGACCTGCCTTACAAGAGTTCCCGAAAGAAGCACTAAATATGGAAAGGAAAGACAATTGCTAGTCACTACAAAACACACTTGTATATTTAGACCACACAAACAAGTTGGCATAATAAACAACTGAAAACATGATGACAATAAAACCACCACACAAGCAAGGTGGCAGGAGATGGAGAGAGTGAAGGGGGAACTGCCAAACACTTTTAAAACCATCAGGTTTTGTGAGAACTCACTCACTGTCATGAGAACAGCATGGTGGAAACTGTCCTTATGATCCCATCACCTCCCCACCAGGTTCCTCCCTTGACATCTTGTGATTACAATTCCAGATGAGACTTGAGTGGGGACATAAAGCCAAACCATATCAATTGCATATGATATTCCTAGGTATAGTTTTTTTGTTTGGTTTGGTTTGTTATCTGTCCTGCTTTGTGTTCTCTGTACTTTCTGGATATGTAGTTTGATATCTGACATTAACTTGAGGACAATGCCCAGGCATTATTGCCTCATACACTTTTTCTGCCCCTTTCTGTCTTTCTTCTCCTTTTGCTATTCTTATTCTGTGTATATTATATATTTTATAGTTTTCCCACAGTTCTTAGATATTTTGTTCTGATATTATTTTCAGTATATTTCTCTCTTTATTTTTCAGTTTGAGAATTTTCCATTGTTGTATTCTCAAGTTCAGAGATTCTTTCCTCAGGTGTGTCCCGTCTACTACTAAAACCATGAAAGTCTCATTATTCATTTCTTTACAATGCCTTTGATCTCTAGCATTTCTTTATTAGAATTTCTATCCCTCTGCTTACATTGTCAATCTCTTTTTGCTTGTTATTTACTTTTTCCATTAAAGGCCATAGAAAAATAATCATAGTTTTTAGGCGTTCTTGGCCGGATAATTCCAAACTTACTGCCATATCTGACTCTTGTTCTGACAATTGTTCAGTCTCTTCAAACTTGTGTTTTTGCATTCTAGTATGCCTTGTAACTTTCTGTTGGAAGGCAGACATGAGGTACTAAATGTAACTGTAGTAAATAGGCTATTAATAATGTAGTGGGAAGATATAAGGGGAGGGTAACTTTTTTCCAGTCCTATTATTAGATCTCAGGCTTTTGGTGAGCTTCTGCTTCTGGTCTACAATCTCGCAGATCCCTCCTCTGTTTCAGGTGAGGCAGAATGACTGGAAGGAACTGGAATTGTGTATTTCCCTTCTACTCCATGGAAGAATAGACAGAGCTTGAGTTGAGTATTTTCCTTCTCGCCAAATATGTTAGGCTCTGATATAACACCAGCAATTTAGGCTCTGGTAAAAGAATTTCTCCTGAGGACTGGCCTTGTTAAAAAGGACAGTAAATATATGGTGAAGTATTTCAAAATAGGTCCTGCACCATGACTGGGTTCCCCTAGAGTTTATCTTTTAGTTTCCCCCCACTTCTGGCACCCAGCAATTCATCAATTAATTATCAGCTTAGGATTTTCCACCTCAGTGTTACTTGTCCCCATTGAGGTTTCTACTCATGGATATCTGCTTCAGTAATTTGTGGTTCTCTATATCCACCTATCTGGCTCTCTAATGTTGGGGACAGCAGTTTGCCCTGTGACATCTCTTCTCTAAAAAATCTAAGAAGCATTGTTGACTCTTCAATTTGTTTACCTTTTTACTTGGTAAGACATAATAAAGACTTTTGAGCTCCTTAAATGCTGGGCTGGAAGCAGTATTTTTAAAAATGGCACTGTTGCTAGGAAAGACCAATTAAATCTTAATGTTTAATGATTGTAGTAAGAATGCAGCTTGTTTTCTAAAAGTAAGCAACACAAAATATTCTGAGACATGTCATTTTCTTTTGTTTAAAATAAATTTTTAAATTATTTTTTTCTGCGAAGGGGTTTGAAATAATAGTTTTGTATTGTGTTTTCAGTTGGCTATATAAACTTTTAAAAATAGATAAAATTTGACTTGGCTTTATTTAAATAGATTTTTGTTAGTAGCATTTGCTCTGGCAAATCAGTTGGTTATGCTAGCAGTTCTGCTTACTTTTATCAAGTCAAAATGATGCATCAGCTGAAATTTAAGGCTAGAGTCAGTCAAACTGCCATCTCAAAACTAGTCTTTAACATCTGGTTTGATACCTTCTTAACATGGTATCTTTTAGATGGATGGTGTTACAGGAAAATCCTCATAGCAAAGGCAGCATTCCTGGACATCTGCAGCCTTTTTAGAATCAACAGAAATGCTCTGGTGAAGTAGCTGTGACATTTACCTCAGCAAATACTGAAATTATGCTAACTGTAAAATGCACTTCCTCTTCCTACTGCAACTGCTCTTTTGGGAAAATTTACTATCACAATGGCCCCAGACTAACATTCTTACTCAGATGCTCACATTTTATCCTGAGTGTTCAAACACCTCTCTGCCTTTCCAGAAAGGAATGAAAGGAGTGCAGTTGTTTTTCACAGGTGGGCATTTACTCTTCAGCTTTCCTAACTGTATGAGGTACAAGCTTTCTTTGTGTCAATCTATACATGAGATTTGTGTCAGTCTTTTCAGTTTATCACTTTTCAACCAGTTTAGGATTATGAGCTTTACTTTTACACACATACCAACCAAGGCAAAGGAATATTGGGAATCACAGCAAGAGCATTGCTCTCTTCTAACAAATCATCCTTGACATATCTACTCTTAATCTTTTAAAATCATCTTTATATATCCCTTTTTAAATTAACCATCTAACTGCTTCTAGATCTCCTACTATGAAATGTCTAATGGTTGTCTATTTCATATTTACTTAGTGTATTATGCTCATGATTTCTTTGCGCATCAATTGAAATGTCAAATTTATCATCATATTACCCATACAGTTGCTAAAAACATTTCAGACAGATGCAGCATTTTTAAAAATATTGTTTTCTGCTATATAAATAAAGATGTTTAGTTAAAAAAGTCCTCTTTAGGTTAAAAAGACTATATTGTGTAGAAATAATGTAGAGTCCTTACAGGAAGTAAATGACATTCCACAGAGTAAGTATCTCAGGGTCCTGTCTTTGATATGATTGCTAAGAAAACTCTTAGACCTTTCATTCTGAAATTGTTTTTAGAATACCCTTGCTTATGACATAAGAATTAGTTGCTTTATTTATAGTGTTAAAGAAAAAAAAATCAGTGATACATGTTAAAACATTGTATGGAAGACTTTCTTCAGGACCTTTGCTATAGCTTTAGGGTTCACTGCAATGGGATATTGTAGTAGGGAAGAGATATTGGGATCAACTCAGAATACATCATGGGCAAGTAGAAATTTATAGCCATGGAGCAGAGTGAGGCTCAGTAGGTGAAAAATTAGTAAAAGGAAACATCAGGGTAAGGAGATTCTAGCTAAACCATCCTAAGAAGATTCTGCTGAAGACAGGCCAAGGTGATCAGACATCCCTTGCCGGATGATGAAGAATGAGGAACCCAGTGAGCTATTTTGGGTCATTGGACATTAAGAATGGGAGCTTCTTGCTAAACTGACTTAACAGGGTTCTTTGCTAAAACTGGATTTTATAAAGAAGTTCATAGATGTGCCTAGGTGAAGGTTCGAAAGCCTTGGGAAAGTTTGATCAGAGAATATTTGTCAATAGCTATTCCTGCTTTTAGAACAATTACAAAAATAGTATATAACTTATGCATTATTTTACTTAAAATACCGTGACATTTTTCAAAAAGAAAGACTATCCTAATGTGAGAATTGTTATTAATAAGGATATTCCGAAGGAACAATATAACATCTGAAGGCAATTTCAAAAGAGGAACTTGAAACATTCAAGCAAATTTAAAATAAAGTGACTATTTTAAAAATGGAACAGCAATTTATATGTACATATTTGAGAATATTCATATAAAAAGAAGTTGTTTTAAATTTTCATTCTATAGAAAACTATGTGCTTCCTAGACATGGTCACAACACTCATATGGGAAGTAAAGATGGTAAGAAACATTCTAATGAAAATGATAATGCTTTTTATGAAAAATTTCACATTTTATGTTAGCTTTCTCAGGAAGGATAGAAAATCTGAATGATAAAGACAAATAGTTAAAGTAAAAGTTCAAATACTATTGTATTACAGTCTAAGATGTTGTTATTACTGGCATTGATTCCCTAGTTATTAAGTGTCAGAGTAAATAAATCTTTGTTTTTATAAAATCCTTATAAGGAAATGAAATAAATGTGAGTACTGAATTTTTATTTCATAGAAAACTGAGGGTAAACTAGTTCCTTTATTTTTAGTTTATCTGATAATAGACAGTTAAAATAATATTCTTTACAAGATAATTATGTAAATATATTACAAATAAATCATCTACATTATGTTGACTGAACTTTAGTTTTATTTCAGATAATTTTTATATTTAATACTGTTTTCACTAATGCTATTCAATAGCTTTCAGGTAGTAGTTTGCTAATTAATATTTGAAGTAAAATATTAAAACCCATTAATAATAATAGAGGTAATGTCCTAGAGTTTTACTGTTTGTTCTTTTAGAGGCTTATTAGTATTTTTTCAGACTCGTATATTATATTCAGTTTTCAGTTTGCACCATATTTTCAGGTGATGTTTCTTTTATTTAACTAAATTCATCCATATCTAATTCTCATACATTTTTAGTCACAGCTGAGCTACCCTGCTTATGTATTAAGAAGGTTGAATTATAATTATGATTTCTTTAAAGTGTCCTTGAAACTTCACCCAGTCTAGAATGAATTTTGAATTTTAAAATGTTAGTTTTGTGAGCGGGTGTCACTTTTGTTTTAAATAGTAGCGTAGACCTTTCTTCACTTGTTTCAAACACAACGTGGCCAGGATGCTGATACATTCGGAAAAAAAAAAAACTATGGATATAAATATGCAAAAATTTTATTTTTAGAAGGGTAGATTTAGATATTAATATAAATAATTTATATTATTTTTAAACTTCACTGGCTCTATGAAGCATAGTTCTCTTGGTTCCTAAAATTCATTCTTTTTCTTTCCTTTTAAATGAGTCTGTCTATATAACACACACATACACACACACACACACACACACAACATATATTTATATATAAAAATTTAACAAGTAACTTATATACATATAACTGTGTAGTATTTCAAAACAGAGTCCATAAATCATGAAAAAAAAACTCCATACACAGTTGTTAATGAATTAAAACCATGAGTCATTTCTCAGTGAAGTAGTTATTTCTTATTCTAAAATTTGATAAAATTGGCTAAATACAGACATACACTCACAGGTACACACATACATTTTCTGTGACTATACTTTGAGAGCCTGGTTTCCTAGTTACTTTTGCATACTATTGTACCTTACATTTTGGTAATCCAAATGTGAGTAAGCCATGATTGTGCCACTGCATTCCAGCCCGTGTGGCAGAGTGACGGCATGTCTCTAAAAACAAACAAACAAACTTATCTTAATGCAAAAGAAATTGGATACATTTTCATGATTAATTTGAATGTTTCCTTCAGCTATTCTATAATAACTTTATGCAAAGTTCATACTGTCAGAATTAAGAAAGATGTATTATTGATTTTTTTTCTGAAGATACATCTTCAATATTATATTTTTTATAATCTAGTGTTCCATTGCCATTGTACCTTCATCACTTGATTCAGTCACTTCATTCATTTCTTCAAATATTTATAGAGCAAATGGGTAGAAAACTAGCTGTGCCTGCTAGAGCTTTGGCATCAGTTATTATTTTCTTTTTTAATCTTTAGCATAATAGAGAGCCATGTTTTCTATCTTAAGAGTAACAGAGCTTTATAAGTGAGTTAATAAAGTAAGAGTTGATATGATCAAGATTGAGATTTAGGAAAATCATCCTGTCTCAGTGTAGTGAACAGATTGAAAAGGACAGTGGTGGATGTGAGAAGTTGTTAGAGTGTTGCAAGAATGCAGGAGTGGTTAAGAGAATGGCATACTGGAGAGTGGCCAAGTAACCTGTGTCCAAAAAAATTAATTTAAATTTAAAATATATGGTGATCATTGGCATATTTTCTCAGATTTATTTCACTAAGGAATCTAGTGGGCTAATTAGAAAATAAGGGAATGAAATTATGAATAAAATTCTTTGATTAATTCTGTTGTGAAGGGAAGAGAGAAAGTATGGCAACTACTGTGGAAAGTATGTTAACTAGAGGAAAGAAAAATAAGACCTGAAAGGCTTGAACATGTTTAAATGTTGTCAGTAAAAAGGGAGGGGTAAAAAAAGAAAGAAATAATTATATAAGATTCCTGTAAGTAATGTAAGAATGTGATGGAATTTAAAGCAGAAAATGAAGGATTCGCTGTGGCTTGTAGGGTAACAAACAGAAGGAGAAGAGGAGAGATTTTGACAGATGGTCTTTGACATAAGAAGGTTTTGGATTGATTTTTGAGTGTGTTTCCATAAATGGTTTTATTTTTCTCTGTAAAGTAAAACCCAGGTCAACTACTAAAAGTGAGTTGAGTCCACAGAAAGTTTTGAGTGTCAGGAAAGGAGCAATTTGAAATTGACGTTGTAGAGAATAAGTTGAAAGAGATACTAAGCTTTCTGGGCAGGGTTGAACATGTGCTTCAGTTTCACTCTTGTTAGTACCACTTTTTCCAGCAATGCTGTGCTGCTTCAGATTCAGAAGACATTGATAGTTGAGTTACTCCAGGGCTGGGGTTGGGTTAAACAGTTCAAAGGAAAGAGAGAGTTTAGTGAGTTTAAGATATTGGCAAAAGTAATATTGAGATTTATATCATGGAAAAATCATCTGAACATGGTATAATATAAAAAAGGAGAAAAATCTAATGAATTGTAAGACTGTAGGTCTTTAATGCGCATGAGGCTCCAGTGGGATTGGAAAATATTACCGGTAAAGAAACTGAATAAACAAAGTGGGGAGAAAAAAGAGTCTAAAATCATAGAGCAGGAAAGTTGAGTAATTCATTTTGAAAGTAAAGTAAATTCAGGTGTTGAAAATAGTGTTATGTGACCATGATTGGCTGAAGCACTAAAAAAAGTGTTGGTAATGATTTTGAATGACTGACAAGTCACTCTGAGTCCTGTGTGAAGGGCACTCTGTGTGAAGGACTCTGAGTGACTTGTCAGTTTCAAGCTGGTGAAAGAGAAACAGAGGTAGGCTGGAAATGACTTGTACTGACTTTCAGGAAATAAATTTACAGAAATTTTATGATTTGGCTGACATAATACCTGTAGCTTGAAATCATTAATAGTGGATATAAAATCAGCAAGTACCACAAGTAAAAATAAAGCAAATAAAAATTGGCAAACACTACAAATCAGGGCAAGTCTCCCTTTTCCAGAGAGACAACTGTTAAACATTTACTAGTTCATCACTGAGGAGAAGCAAACATCTGTATCCAGGAAATGAATAGAAGACTGTAGTAAAATAAATCAGGTAGTAATATTGAATGGTTCGAACCTTAAAAGAACAGGGTTTTGTACCTTCGCTTCCTTTCAAGAGGAGTGTGGAATGTGTGATTTAGAAGTAGGAAAGAAACAAGGATACATTTCCCATTCTTGATGTATGTGGAGTGTGAAATACATTTTTCATTAATGTATTAAAGCTGTACTCAAAATTAAATAGAATTTAAAATTATTTATGTAGAGCAATAATGTGGCTATCCTTCTATTTTGCTTTAAAGCTGGGTCAGGTATATATACATATATTTTTCTTATTGAATGAAGCCATGAACAGAATATGAGAAAAATAAGTACAAGTCTAGTTATTCTTAATTAAACTGATTTGATCATTACAAATTATATGACTGTATTAAATTATCACATGTGCCATGATATATATATATATTATTTATAAATAAAAATAAAAAACAAAAATAAATAAATATTAATGGATATATAGACCATCTCCACTGAAAAATATCTTGGAATTTATATAGTCTAATCCGTTTATTCCACAATTGAACAAATTGACTTCTAGAGAGATAAACTTACTCACTACAGATCATTTAGCTTTGTAATGTTAGAGCTGAAAGTAATATGCCTGTCTTCTAAACTCCAGCATGATAGGAATAATTTCATTGTATGCATCTAGTCATTCATTTATCCATTTTTTTCTAATTTATTCAATAAGTATCTATTGATATCTATGATATACTAGACACTGTTCCAGATACAAGAGCTATAAGGATAGGGGAAAATCCTTGCATTAATGGAGGTTTTCTTCTAGTAGGAAGAGAGAGAAATTGAACAGATAAATAAGTATAAAGAGGAAATACATAATATACTACCTAGTCATTAAGAGGTATGAATACAAATAAAATAGACGGAGGATAAGGTATATATATGGTGAGTCGAGGGTTTTAATTTTAAATAGGGTAAATATTAGAAATTCTCTGGAAAAAGGAATGTATCAGCAAACATCAAGAGGAAGTGGAGAAGCGAGGCACATGGATATGCAGGGAAAATGCATTCCAGCTAGAGAAAACAGCATAGTCAAAGACCCTCTATTAAATTGTACCCCTAATTAAAATGTGCTGTAAATTAATGATTAATATAATCATCAACTACTTTATACATACTCATATTGTGATATGTTTTAATTCTCAGTGTACTTGTAATGCATTATAAGACTTTAAGCTTTGCCAGGACAGGGGTCATGTTTTGTTTTTGGTAAATCTACGCACACACAGTGCGTGGCATGGTTATTTATACCAAGCTGGTGGTCAATATATATTAGAATGATAGATCAAATGATTGAATGAATAATCTAGTGAATTATTAAATAGAATAAGTTGAGTTTTAAACTAAAACTTTTGTGCCTCTAAGTCTCCTCACCTGAAAAGGCCTGGCGTTAAGGGCCATGTTGGTTAAAGCTCCTACCTCAGCAAAAGCTCAGGGTGCTTTTTCTATTCTTGCTTACTAGGGTGATTAAATAACAATAGAGGGGAAAACAAGTTTCCTTATCCTTAAAAAATTAAGAATTATTTTAATGGTAAAGGCATATACATATACACTTACATATATATATATATATATATATATATATATATATATATATATATGAAGACAGTAGGTATATGCTACAGTCATCTCATGTACAAGTACTGTGTTTCTCTTTTGATTGATTATGTAAAACAAGCAACGAGAATAAATTCTGATTATCTTTACAGAGCTTTATGGACTGTCAAAATGGCTTTAGATGAGTTTTCTCATTTATTTATCACAATACTTCCACGATATTGTTAAAGAAGCTTTTTATTACATTAGGTAGGGAAAAGAAATTATGGCTTATCCAAGGTCCTTCATTGACCCAGTGTGGTAAAGTTTCTTAATTGTATTTCAGTTTGTCCACATGACAGTAAAATATATTCTTGATGGCTATTATTTATAAGAAAAGAAAATATTTGATCAGGAAAGTTGAAGACATCTCATTTAAAAGATAATATGCAATGAACCTTCATTATGAGATACTTGGAATGGTACACAATGAACTATCAAATGCTGTTTCAACTACCTAAAAAGGATAACTGTCTTTAACTGCACCAAATGATACTAAACTTGCTGCCTATCCTATTATGCTTAGTCACTCTGATTTCTTTTATTCCTCTATTAACTCACACTAACACTGAGAAGAGCAATTCTCTCTGTTTCATTGTCCTTCCCTTCAAATATCCTGTTTTAAGAGATTACAGATGCCTTGAGATAACACTGCCAGAATTATCCCAAGGCTGACAGGTTTACTAACAACTGAATGCTTTTCAGATCACTGCACTGGACTCAGATCCACCTTTGATATGAACCACATATGGCTTCAGTCTTGTTTCCCTGAATTAACTCTAATTTCCTAGTGACCAAGGTCAGATGAGTCCAGATAGGGCTCAGCTGTTCTTACCTAGCACATATGTTCCAGTATTGTTGGTAATTTATTTCTGTAATAAAAAATTAAAATGGAAATCTCAGCCAGAATCTCTTTTACCAAGGGAGACCTTGCTATGAGCATTAGGGCTTATTACATGTAACTTTTTCATAACAAAATAAGAATTATTATTATAGCACTATAGCCAAATATTTAAGTTAGCATTATAAACAAAATTGGTCATGTAAAATTTATTGAAAAAGAATAATTTGAGTTAGTACCAAATACCACAAAATTTACATTGTTAATTTTAAAAAGTCAGAAATTAGTTTGCTTTTAGCAATTTTACTGTATTAATCTATACACCAATGTTAAACTAATTCTGCCAGATTATTTAGGAGGTAAAACTTTTATTTATAAATGTCTGTTTATTAATTCAAGAGAAATAGAATTTGTTAACAATAAAGTCTTTTTCAGATTACTTCAAGATATTTTGGGTGTTGTACCACCTGATTAACTTTTTAAGGTGTCTGAGCTGAAGTCAACATTTCTAATATTATGTATAACAAAACATATTACAATATAGTATTCAATTTTCTTTGCATGGTGGATGTGTTGTTGTTATGACATTTAAAACAAAATTAATGTTAAAGGTTTTAAATTTCATTCATGGAGAAACCTTTCCTGTAGAACATACTTAAAAAGTTAATTCTAAATCCTTGCTTTAGGAGGTTACACAAATATTGATAATGTTATTTTCTTATCACTTTTAGACAGTCAGGTTCATAAAAGCAAGTTCAATGAGCATAAGATGGTTTCTAAATTTTAATTTATTTTTGACAGCAAACAAAATGAACAAAGGTGAGGAATCCATTTGTGTACCTAAGATATCTTTAAAAAGAAGATACCTTTATATTTGTCAAATATGTTGCTCCCAGTAAAAGAAAAGAAGATCTATGCAAGTGGTTCAAGAGTAAACCTTACCTTATTAGCTTTTCATAATATTTTCGAAGAAATTTAAAACAAAATTGCAAAGCACTATTCTTACACTGATATTTTACCAGTTCACTAAAACATTCAGAAAAGAAATTTACCCTAAAATTTGTTAGTCATTTGAGACTTGCAAAGAGCCAAATAATTTCCAGGTTGCAAACTTTATTTAGTGTTCTAGCAGAAACTAAACTAAAATGTCTATAAGTTTTAAATTGTTAGATGTGTGTTTAAAATATTTTAAATATTTACATTGTATGCTCTTTTTAATACACAAAATCATTTGGCAATTGTGAATTTTAAAAGGGGGTGTATTTCTTATTCCTTTAAAGTTTATTTTTGACAAAAATACATTATTTTGTTGATGTTTCACAATCCATGAAAACTGCTATTATAAGCAGATAGTGTCTTCTGAACTGATTTTATTGGTTTGTGCTGATGTAGAAAAAAACAAATCGGCTTACAAGCCTCGGCATTTTTATAAAATAAACATTGCTAAACATTGACATCCCAAATCCATCTAATATAACATAGAAAAATAAGTTTCTTTAAGGAAAGGAGGAATAAAATAGAAATACATTCTAGTATTTTTAGTGGCAGATAGGATAAGTTTAGTGGGAAAATAAGATGATTTACGAAAACTTAAAAATGCATTTTTCTTACAGTGCTTTTTTTAAGATATGCATTTCATGCAATATCTCTGAGACATTATTTAATTGATTCTCTTGGCTTTATCTGGCTAATTACTCTGTATAATATAACTATAAGGATAATAATTAAGAAATCGTTTTTTTTATTTTTGTCAGGTAAGTTATAATCTTTTTATGTTTTATGTAATTAAAATTCTTTTGCAAAATCATGATGCCATGAATTTTATCTATTTTCACTTTTTTTTAAGGCAAGGAGCTTTGGTTCTCTCAACTGTGTAGGAAAGAAAAATATTTTAACTATTTCTTATCTTTTACTTGGCTACCCTCAAGGTGAGCTCTTTATGATCCTCTAATTTGTTGTTACCTCAATTATTTGCTAATAGAAAATTATTTTATGATGTGCTTAGCTTACTACCTGTCTTTTATTTTATATATTTCTCTTAGGTACTACATTCTTTTGGAGAGTATTTCCTAATAAATTTGGCAGCAGCTATGGACAGGGCAAGGATGTGTCTCAATTCCTGAGTCTTTCCTGGTGTTCTGTCTCAGTCTTCACTTTCTCTCATCACAGTGGCCAGAGGACCTTCAAAGACTGTGGACATTTTGGCTGATCAGCTTAGTCCTTATGTTTGATTTTAATCAGGTCCCTTGGCAATGATCAGTATCTACTTCACTGAAAGACACTAGCCATTGTTACAGGTGATGGAGCAAAATGTATTTACAGGTGGCTCCTTCAACATGCCGGTTGTTTTCCACGTATAATCTTTAGTTTATACTGCAACTTTATATTTCCTTTCTTCTATGTCAATTTGCATACAACTTTCATATTCAACATAGAAATATTTGATTAATTTCATTTTTACCTCATCACTGATCCTAAGTGCATTTTTATTCCTTTTCTTTAACTTGTACAGCTCCCATTTATTGATTTTTACGTTTCAAGTTCCTATAATCTATTTAACTTTGAGAATGTTCAACAACTTTTTGCTTTATTAAAAATAAATCTAGCTAAGTCTTCTTATTTTCCCCTTACACAATATATTTTACAGTGGAAGTATGACCCCATGGGTGTTTAATATAAATATTTTCAAACCAGAGGTCAAGCCAATGGCAGTGTTCTAAATCCTCGTTTATTCTACTCAGGACCCACCTTATTAGGAACATTGCCTTATTTTTTTTCAGCTTCACTGAGGTACAGTTGACCTCAATAAAATAATAAAAACTGTATATATTTACAGTGTTGGAGAGTCTTTCCTAATAAATTTGACAGCAGCTATGCACAGAGCCAGGCTGAGTCTCAATTCCTGCGTCTTTCCTGGTATCTTATCTGTATCTACATACATATATATAAAGTTATCATAATCAGTTTAATTAACATATCCATTATCCTGTATTTTTGTGTATGTGGTGAGAATATTTAAGATCTATTCTCTTAGCAACTTTCAAGTATAAATTTGCAGTATAATTATGTGTAGTCACTATGTTAAATGACATAAGCTAGGCACAGAAAAACAAATGCTGCATGATCTCACTTACACATGGAATGTAAAACAAGTTGAACTCATAGAAGCAGGGAGTAGAATAGTAGTTACCAGGGGTTTGAGGGGATGAAATGGGGAGATGTTAGCCAAAGGAACTTTGCATTATTGATTGTTCTTTCTTTTTCTGACATTTTAAACCTCTCCTTTCTTTTGAAACATCCGCCATTGGCATTTAAACATGCTCAAATCTCTTCAATCTTTTAAAATCTTACTTAAACCAAAATATTCTTCTATCTGCTATTCTGGATCTGCTCATCTTCAGGGTTGTACTTTTTATTTTATTTTTTTTTTCTTTTTGGCACTTACTGCTACCAGTTTACTTTCCTCAAATCCTTTCTTAATCCACTTTGATGTGACTTCTAAGAGCTTCACTCCCCTCAATTAGCCCTTGCTAAAATAACCAAGAAACTCTCTGTTGCCATATCCAAAGGAAATTATTCAGTTTTCATTGTTTGTAGTTTTCTAGCAAAATCACTACAAGGGACCACTTCCTCACTCAACTTTCTCTTGCCTTAATTTATGCAGTACTTAGATTTTCTTCCTTCTCTGTTTACTCTTTTTACGTTTCAGCCTCCTATGCCAGCTGGTGAAATTCAAAATTCCACAAGCCTTAATCCTAGGACTCATCTTATCTTCCTCTCCTGTCTTTTTCCACATCTATCCACGACTTGGTCAATTGTATCTAATATGGCATTCAAAATCTACATTTTTAGCTTTGATATCCCCTCTGAACTCCAGACTTAATGTCTAACTTCATATTACAGATCCATTTGAATGTTCCTCATGGGTCCCCAACTCACTAGGTATAATCTTTCTCCCCTAAAATTTGATCTTCTTTCAGTTTTTTCCTCTGTCAGTAATGCTCAAGTGTAAACCAGAAACCAAGGACTTGTTCAACCTAAACCTCTTCTTTTTATATTTCAATAATTACCAAGTATTATGCATTACACACACACACACACACACACACACACACACACACACACACACACACACACCCCCTTTGAGTTTCTGGATGTCTTTCCATCTCCAACACCATTTCCAGAGTCCAAGTACTGTTTCCTTAGACTGATGCTATGTGCTTCTAAATGGTCTTTTTACATCCATTGTAGTCTTAGTGATCTCTTCAAAATGCAAATCTGATTTCATCATCCATAGACAATCTGCTTCATAATTGCCTTCACTTCTCACTGCTCCTATGATTAAGGCATATTTTGTTCTTGCATGTTAACTATTTATGAAACCTGGACCCTGGTCAGTGTCTAAAATTGTGCCTATTACATGAAAGTAATTCAATACACATATTTTACTTATTTATTTTTATTTTAAAAATTTTTAATAATTTCAACTTATTTTAGATTCAGGAGATACATGTGCAGTTTTGTTACATGGGTACATTATGTGATGCTGAGGTTTGAGGTACAGTTGATCATGTCACCTAGGTAGTGAGCATAGTCTGCAATATGTTTTCAACCGTTGCCCCCATCATCTTCCTCCCTTGGTAATCCCCCGTGTCTATTGTTGCTATCTTTATGTCCGTGAATACTCAATGTTTAGCTCTCATTTATATCTGAGAACGTGCAATATTTGGTTTTCTGTTCCTGTGTTAATTCACTTAGGATAATGGCCTCCATCCAGCTGCATCCATGTTGCTGTAAAGGACATGATTTTGTTCTTTTTTATGACTGTGTAGTATTCTATGGTGATACACGTATTTTAAATAAAAGAGTAACTTGGCTCTGTGAAAGCAGAAGTTGCACTGGGAAAAGTTAAACCAACAAGGAAGACTTTTCTATTCCAAAAAGGAAGAGAGAGATCAGAAGTCAATCTCTGAACTGGGCTGAAACTCTGGAGAGTTTTAAAGGATGGTTTGGGAGTTTTTAAGGGTGAAAGAGCTTTTAACAACAATTGGGTGGGTATGGGGGATTATGACCATATGTGTTTGCTAATTGGGATTATCCAAGGGAAATATAAACTTTCTCATATCTTCGTCACAGAAAGTAGTTTTACAACTTGGAAGAAGGGACCCTCTGTCTGAAGTTAGGTTTCTACCTTTCCACAGAGACTGGAAGATAGAGATGCCTCCTTCCTTGATGATTACCTTTCAAAGGGTTGGGTCCAGGCCCTTTAGAAAGACAGTCTGGTGTTGAAAAACTGCCAAGAGCCTTTCAAAAAGATTTACATTTAAAAGGGACAAATAAAGAATTTACAATTACAAGAATTCGGCAGTAAATTATCTACGAGAGGGGAGGGAAAATACCTTGATGCTTAGGCTATCTGAATCATATAAGGGACTGAGTGAGCTTAAGATGGGGCCTGGAGGTCAGAAGGAGCCTGCCTAAAGTTTAAAAAGCTGAGGGAAGGCTTCAGGTCACCTTCATTACTCCTTATTTATTTTGCTATCATTTTCTAGCACTCTGTTCCTTAGCTCATGGTGCCCCAGCCAAAGAATACTTTCTTCAATTATCCCTCCCATCGAGTTCATATCCAAGGTAGCATCTCTTGAGTGCTTTCTCTCATATTAGAGAGTTCTTGATGTTGTAAATGCAAGAGAATGCATTTTGAGTTTTTGTTTTGTTGCATTTGTAAAATATTTCTTACCACTTTGAGGATCATTTATGCCATTCTGTTTGCTTTAGTCTTTATATTTTCAGTTGGAGGCTCTCCTCAAGTATCTGGTTATCCTTGGCTGTTTGATCATATTTAATAGATTTTAAAAGGCTCACTGCAAACTCTAGGTGCTTACTCAAAGCTGAAAAACTGAGTTTCACTGTGGGGTATATAGTGGGTAATTTAGTTAGAAAATCCATGAAATGTATATTTAGATAGAGTTGGTGTAGTGCACTGATTAAGATTATGAAACTTGTAGGAAATCTTCCCATGTTTGAGTCCTGGTTTTGCCACTAAGTAGCCATATAATTTTAGGCAAATCATTAACATCATTGTGTTTTGGTTTTCTTGTTTATAAAAGGGGTACAAAAATACCTACATATTTTTATAAAAATTAAAAATTTTAGTATTTGTAAATAATTTGGAATAGCATCTAGCACATGCTAAAATTTATATATGTGTAAACTTTTATTATTACTATTAATATTTATTTTGCTTGAAAAAAATTCTATTATTCTTTCTGGAGGAAGTATATGAATCAAGACAGACATAAGGCTGACTGGTCTCAACAGTGGTTATGGATTTCAACTTATTTCTTCTGGTTTTAATATGGTCTTCCCTGGTTCAACTGTCCAGCATGCTCTTGCTTCCTCTCCAGAGAATAAAACCTCTAGTACCTGCTTGAGTGGGTTGGGGGAGTCATCATGCTATTCGGAGATAGGCTGTAACAATGTAACTGTTTTTAAAACATCCCTTCAATAAATTCTACTTTTTTTAAACCCATGTTTATTTTGGCTTTGAAAGGGATCTAGAACTGACTATCTCTGGACATTTGTGGAGTGAGGGTGTATTCTAAAGTTACCTATTTCCTGGTAGGTGACCAGCAGATAATCATATTTCTTAAACTGAGCTTTCATATTTATTATGAGAACTAAAACAGTTTGGGTGACTTTTCTATCTAAATATATTTTGCCATTAAAATAATAGAAATGCTTAAAGAAATGAAAAATCAGTGCTGGAAAGTATTTCAAGAATTTTAAGTGAGTTTATGTTTTGTAAAATTCTTGTTACACCAATTAACTGTTAGTATTGTAGATCAGATATTTCAAATGTGAAATAATATGATAGTTCTTAGTAATTTAACATGAAACTATATACATTTGTAAAGGATACAGTAGCAACATGTCTTAAAGTTGGTTGGTTTTCAGTTGTGATTAAAAAAAAATGTTTGATGTGTTTATCACATGGATTACAGTAAAATATTCACAATGAATGGATTTGTGTACTATTATAAAATATAATTATCTTGGCCAGGCATGGTGGCTCATGCTTGTAATCCTAGCACTTTGGGAAGATGAGGCAGGCATGTTCAGTGTTTCACTGGGGAGCAAAGGTTTGCATTTCTACCCGGTCTTAGCCCTGATTCTGTCCTTGTCTTTATAGAGCACTCATTGTACCTTTTTCTTTTTCCTAGTAAATCATAAGGTACTTATTTCCATTTTATCATTGAAACAGTGCCAGGATTTTTCTCTGTAATATTGTGGGCCTGCCTTGTAGTGGAAGTAGTAGTAATATCACATTTATTTCCTTGCACATGTAGAAATAAAAGCACACTTAAACTGTAAAAAATATTCCATATCTATTTGCTTGAAAAGAGTTTTAACTTTTTATGATAATACAAGCAGTATGATGAATATCCTTCCTGTGTTTGTAACTTCAGGATTATTTTTGGTATTTGTATAATATAATAATTAAATGATGATAAGGGTTTCACAGATGAACTTTCAAGGAGCAGATGCTAACGTTTTTCCTGTTTATGTTTTACCAGGGCCTTCTGAACAAAACCTATTTTCTTCTTTTAGTAATAAAATTCTAGTAAAGCCCTCCTGAGAATTTTCAGTTGGATATAAACACTATTCAATTGTATTGGTCCAGGAATCTTTAGTTATTTAGTAGGCCTGAATAATAGATTTCTGAAGTCCAGCTTAAAGAAGTACTGAGGTGATCAAATTGTTTCTCAGTGGAAATGTAGACATCTTTATTTGTAACATCCTTATTTGTAACACATTCTGCTCGTCTCTTCAACCCATACATTTTTTGTGTATCCCTGGGGGTTAATGTAGCATCTGTGTTACGTTAACCCAAGTTGGGGGAAAACAAACAAACTCTTGGAGTCTTACAGTGTCAATCTGAGTGCAGTATTTCTCTCTTCCACGTTTGTTGTAAAGAAATATTGACAAATATGAAATACTCAGGTAAGAGACAAGCACAAAGAACTTCCTTATAAATCATTTGTTTTCTGTTGTATGTATAGCTTTCAGTGATTTACTGGGATGTGATTTTAAACATGAAGATTTTTAAAAATATATTTGTTAAATAAATCTATACTATACCTAGAAATATGACGAGAAATTGCTATGAGACAGTCATTATACAGATTCAGACTTTTTTGGTATATATATATATATATATATTCCTTAAAAATTATATTAAGATGGTACAAGTAAAGTAAATGTAGTTCATTGTGTCTAAGCATTATAGGAGCACATGGAAACTAAAGAATAACTTTCTCGTGACCAACTTATATTTATTTTCTTCAGAAATCAAAAATCTCCACGTATGACAAAATGTGGGCCTTTATGAGTAGCAGAAGGCAGTCAGTGCTGGTCAAAAGTAATGAAGAAGGAATCCAGCGAGTCCTCACCTCTGATTATGCTTTCCTAATGGAGTCAACAACCATCGAGTTTGTTACCCAGCGGAACTGTAACCTGACACAGATTGGCGGCCTTATAGACTCTAAAGGTTATGGCGTTGGCACTCCCATGGGTAGGTTATATGTCAGCTCTTTGTTCTTTGTTCATTAATCTGAGTTGCTGTAAGACAGGGGAAAAATAGTGTGTCCACGTATGCCATTAGGAATTTTGTTTTTACCAAATGCATCCTGCTACCTCTCTGATTGTATAAAAGCAGGTTATCATTTTGGACATATTCTTCTGAATAGATAAGTCAAAAATAGGAAAAAATAATTTCTATCAAAATGGTCAGTAGATATTTTTACTGTATCAGTGTTGAAAAACACACAGTATAACCCAGCTAACCTTCTCTTTTCAATCTTAAATTCAAAAAATGTTTTATGAGTACACTAAAGTTTTTGTAACAATTTACTTTTTTAAATTTGTGGCTTACAAATATAGTATTTGACTTAGAGAGTTAACGAAAATAAGTGAGGCATAAATGGCTCTCATGAATATTATCAGAATTGTTTTACTTAAAAGAAGGTAGAAATAGAAGACTATTTACCAATGACATATCTAGAATATTTAACACTAAGGATTATTTTTAACATCCCCCTTCTTTCATATGGCAAATCATTTTTAGTCAAAATAATCAAATGAGATAATGAATTGTAATTTCCAGAAAACCATAATAAAACTCTTGATTATATATATACAAACATGTATGAATATGTATATGATGGTGCCGTAAGTAAACACACACACACACACACACACACACACACATATATATATAAAACATTACAGTACATGTGTACATGTAGTGGACAGAATAATGGCTTCCCAGAGATGTCCATGTCTTAATCCCCAGAACCTTTGAATATGTTACTTTATAGCAATATACTTTGAATATAGCATATGCTTTGAATATGTATCATAGCAAAAGATACTTTGCAGATGCGATTAAGTTAAGGATCTTGAGATGGGGAGATTTTCCTGGATTAACCAGGTGCGTCCAATGTAATCACAAGAGCTCTTGTAAAAGGGAGAGTGTAGGGTTGAGTCATAGTTACGATGTGATTATGACAGGGATGTGAAAGAAGTAGAGAGAGGGAGAGAGAAAGAGAAAGAAGAGAGAGGAGAGAGATTTGTAGATATTATTTTTTGGTATTGAAGATGTAAGAAGAAGCCATGAGCCAAGAAATGCCAGGTGACCTTTAGAAGAAATACAGTCCTTCAGAGACATCACTTTTAGGACTTCTGACATATAGAACTGTGAGATAATAAATTTTATATTGGTTTAAGTCACTAAGTTGATGGTAATATTTTAGAGTAGCAACAGGAAACTAATTGTACAGAGGGAAAAAAGTCATAGCATATTTTAATTACATCAATGTACTTTTTGAAAGAAAAGGGAAAACATATTCATGATTTATCACAGTAATATCTAATAATGCTGTACATGCTTTGGACCTTTACTTTTGCAAATTTGTCAATGACTTGGTTAAAACCGATCATTGATTTCTGGCAACTCTGAAAAGTCTAGGAAGTCCAATAATTTTCTACCAAAAAATTTAATATTAAATAAATAATATTACATTTGGAAAATCATCTGAAATGTATTATGGTTTAAAAAAAGCTCGAATTAGTTTTGACAAAATTTTGAGATACTAATTCTTGCATTTATGTAGTAGAGTCATAATAAAGAATAATTGTGCAGTCATTATTGAAATGAAAAAAAACAAACGAGTTCTTACTCCCAAAATAGGCAAGTGTAGCTGAGTCCACATAATTGAGGGGTTAATGGTGTAATTGGAATTGTCCAATTTTATTTCCAGGTAGAATACAATACTTATTAAAGAATTAAATATAAATATTTGCTAATTTGAAAAAGTCAATAAAAGCTCAGTTGTTAAAACTCAACAATAATTGTTTAGAACTTAGACCAACAAAAGATATTTTGGAGGAGGAATATTTTATATTTTACATGTTTTAGACTTCCCAGTGCATAATGATACTGGATGCCACTGTTTTTAAATTCTCCACAGAAAATATACCCCCTTTATTACCTGCACCAGGGAAAGGCTTCCTCAAGCTTTGTCCCTGTTATTCCAATATTATGTACAAATTCAAAATTGGGCAATTAATTTTAATATACTATAAATGTATTAAAATGATTGTGTTTTCACAATTATATTGCTGAGAAACATTTTTTTACTTCTCAAAATGTGTTAAATTATACCTTTATCGCCAGTAAGGCTTTGGTTTATTGCCCTAGCTCTGTGTGATGGGAGTGCTCAAATCTTGGCATTCTGCATAGTTAGGTCAGTTATGGTTCTTTCCCTCAATAAGAAATGCATACTGAACCCAGAAACTTCATGAGTTAATGCACCAGTTATTTGGAATTTGTGATGCACAACTTCTTTGATAATTTTTGAAATATGTTTTTTCCTAGGAAAAATCATATACTCTTAAAAGAAGAGGCTGATAATGTGCTATGAATATCATCATGCAGTATTCTGCACACTGATATTCTGAACTTATTCTTGTCACTACTGTGCTCTTGGACAAGTAACTTGAAATTTATGGCCTCTAATTTTTTAAACTAGTAAAAGAAGAGGATTGTATATCTCAGGTCCATTTAAATGCTAAATAATTTGGCAAATAATGTGCTTGATAGATTCTCAGAGTTTCGTCTAAGTTAGGCTAGACTACATGGAGAAATATGGTTAGCTGATGTCTTAGAATACATTCAAAAAATCAGGCACACTCTTAAAGTAGTTATGAGAGGTGGAAGCAGGGGTCTGTTAGGCTGCCATTATCCTATAGTTTCATTTGGGAAGAGCTGAAATAAATTAACCCATGTTTTAGTATCATTTCTGAAAGGAGTGAGACTCATATATTACTACCATTTTCTCCGGGTTTGCATCGTCTGGATGAGACTCATATATTGCTATCACTCTCTCCTGGTTTCCATTGTCTGGATAAGGGCAGAGATATTTATTTGTCTCTCTTTTGCTGTTCATTGTTTCAGCCACTATCATAATCTGCATTTCTCAACTGGGAAATTAGCATTTGCCTTTTATGTTACCATTGCTGAAGCATACTGAAAATGATAATAGTGTGTTAATATATTTACTTACTTACTTACTTTAAAAATTGTACTTAATTATAAACAACAACAAAAAAAAGGAATTCATTAAGGTGTGAAAAATATTCCTTGAGGTTCTTGCTCTTTCTCAGCAAGAGTTAATGAGAATAGCTATATTCAAAGCAGAGCAATATGGGCTAAGGTTCTGAAAAACTCAGATTACTTCCAGAAGTTCCCCAGGCTTTTTAATTTATATATTCAGGAGCTATAATCCATAGTGAAAATTTCACCTTTAGTAATATCCTATATGTGATCAAAGAGGGGAACTTCCTTTTCTTTGCTTTTATTATTGCTCAGATTTTGAGGTATTTTCAAGAAAGCCTATGTGGTTTGATGAGGAGATTAAAACGGGAAATATTATGAGTCTTTTTGAGTGGGAAATCAGAAAAAAAATTAAAAATTGTGCATATATCCACCCCTGCCCCATTTTCCCCCAAATTCATATATTATCTTCTTAGCCTGCCATGCCTCCTTCTAATTGATTCATTTAGGGGCCTCCCCATCACCATTCATCACTCTGAGTGTGATCATTACTGCCCAAAGTGTGCTGTGAGATCGCTGAATGACTCAGAATAAGCTATTTAATTAAGGAACCTCTGTTTACACAAAAATAGCTTAGTGGAGCAATCAACAATGATGTGAAAGTAAATGCTAAATAAGCTTAAGCAGGTTTAATTAAGTTTGGAGTGACATTAAATTCCTTCATAGTTTTCCTGACTGCAGCAACGTTATTTTAATGTGGCATTTACTGTGTGGTAGATTTTTGAAGTTGCAGGAGACCTTACTTGGTAAGTTAACTGAACTTCTTATTTCATTCAAAACAATATTTTTAAAGGCTCGGAGTGAGTTAAAAGCAAGGAGCAAAATCATAGCAGTTTCATTAAGGAATGTCTAAATTGTGTGAGCAGGTGCCGTCTTGTCTCTTATTTCACCATAGGTGATAATCTATTTATCTGAACTGGGAACATTTCTCCTCCTTAATAGCATTTTTGGCTGCATTGCTTCTCTCCTGACTGCCTGTACTTAAAAGCCTTCTTGGTTTCTCTTTTTCAAATGTTGAGTGCATATTGCACTTTGAGGACTAGGCAGACTCAGCAGTCCGTGAGCTGGTAGGAAAGCAGCAGTCTAGAAAAAATTCCATTAGGGCCAGTTGGTATTATTTTGCTTTGCTTTATGCAATTTGGTAGAAATATTATCAAATGACTGAAGGGTCTCATTAAGATGATTTCTATGTTTAGCAATGAGTTAGTGTCCTCTTTCTTTCATGTATTAGTTCCTCACAACTTTAACAACAAGCATTGTATGTGGCAGCTGAAAAAGGGATGGAGGGAATTGTGCTCATATTTGTGCATATTATTAATAATGTAATTTTCTATAATTTCAGTTGTTTCTATTTTACTTGTGGGATTAAATCAATAGTGAATTCCAGTCAGTGAGTGTATAATTATTTAACAGTGAGTAACTATTTCTGTGAACAAAACCCAAAATGAATTAGTCATATAATAGAGAATTACTGAAATACACACTATACATGAAGAATGTAAAGATAAAGTGGACATATTTACAATGCCCTTTAATATGAAGATTAAATTTAAAAATAATTTTAGCCATACACAAAGCTGTTATATACATTTTCTCTCATATTTACTGATTTAATTAGAAATATTAGGGTATATTTTATTTAGTAATTGACTTTAATGTTACCTTTACAAGCTAATGCTTTAAAACAATATTATCTATGAATATCAAAAAGCAGTAGTACCATTAATAATCCTCAAGTAACTTTTATCAAATTATAATGTACTTACCCATAATTAGCCTAAAGTAAAAAATGTAACATTGAGTTTTTATGGTAGAAGT